>NC_000010.11:79082489-79234004 GCF_000001405.40 Homo sapiens | reverse complement strand
TCTTGCTGCCCTCAGCCTGGGTTGCTCTCGCCTGACTCCCCCGGCAAGACCCTTAAAGACATATATACACTCTGGTTTGCCCAACTTCACTAGAGCCCCTGCTCTCCCAAAAGATCCATATGCCGATCAAAGTGTTGGGCAGCAGCTGGGTGCCAGCCTGCAGCTAGGAGGGGAAACTGCTGCAAATCCAGGGGTGGCAGAGGGAAGCTGAGGCCCCCCCACCCTCCCTACCAATCTTTGGGCTTTTCCAGAGGATGAGGAGCCAGGCCCCTGCTGATGAATTTGAAAGGGAAGGTGAGCTGTGGGCCAGCAGTCTGGGGTGACGCTCTCCAGGAGGGGAAAAAAATCAGGCATGGTGATCTCAGCCCTGTGGATGCTACGGTTTGGGGTTGCTGTGGTCTGAGTGTTTGTGCCTCTCTAAGTTAACGTGTTGAAATCTAATCCATTGAGATGGTACGAAGAGCTGGGGCCTTTGGGAGAGGATTAGGTCATCAGGAATACACCTTCATGAATGGGACCAGTGCCTTATGAAAGAGGCTTGAGGGCGCTCTTTGCACCCATGTGAGGACACAGCCAGAAGGTGCCATCTACGGGGAGCGTGCCCTCACTGGACATCAAATCTGCCAGAGCCTGATCTTGCCTCTGCAACAGGGAGTGATCAATTGCTATTGTTTGTAAGTTACCTAGTCAAAGGTATTTTGCTATAACAGCCTGAACAGACTAAGGCAGGGGCCAAGCAATGCTGCCTGTTCCCTGCCTCAGTCTCCCCAGCTGCGATGCAGGATGCAGGCAGTATTCTGAGAGGCACAGTGGGAAGGCCCAGCCCTGGGAACCAAGCCAGTGCTTCTGCTGCTCCCCCTCAACAAGGGGAGCCCACACCCCCCTTGGGCCCCAGACAAACCTGGGAGTGTGGTGTGTAATTGAATTTGGCCTAATTACCTAATTGCACTGAGGAACAACCAGTACTGACAGAGGCCTTGGTGTCGGGGGCGTGGCTGGAAGCCAGGAGCCAAGAGGGAGCCTCCAGATTCCCCAGGCATTCATGGAACCAGTACTGGGCATCAGTACTTCCTATCACTTAGCCCCTTGGATGCTTGGAACCCCAGGGGGCAGGTGGTGCTGTTCCCATTCCACAGATGAGGAAATGGAGGCTCAAAGTGGCACATCTTGCACAGGGACACCAAGTCAGAAGAAGCAGGAGGGGGTTTAGCTCACATTCCTTCCGCACCTGCACCTTAATATTTTCGTAAAGCTGAAAGGAGAGGATGTGCATGCAGTATTTTGCCTAGCATCTAAAACATGGTAACTCCTTAACTGATTGGCAGTAGTAGTAGGATGATGTTAGGGTTTCACATAAAGGTATGGTGGCAATAATAGCAGGAGTAATGCCAGCCTCGCCCCTGGTACGATGAGGGATGCTGGGAAGATTGCATCCCCCACCCTGTGTCAGTCTCTTCTCAGATTAAACTGGGGCTTGGGCTAGGTGATCCTCAAAGCCCTCTACACTCTGACATTCATGTCAGAGAGGAACAGTAACGATAATGTAACCCTACCACCAATACTTATTATGTATACCTATGAATTATTATGTATCTTGTGACCTCCAAAAATACACCGTCCTCCTGCTTCCCCTTTGCTGTCCAACACACAGTATCCTCCTTCCCATACCAGCCATCTTCCTCCCATAAGTGATTTTTTGAGGGGTGCAGGGGTACCACCCACTCACCTATTCTGTCTCAGTCATTGGGATGTAGCAAATAAGACACTGAGTTTTCACTACATGCAGGGCACAGTTTTCCCTTATATCCTCCCATTTAATCCTCAACGCAGACAGCACCAAACGAGGGTTACAGTTAGCCCCGTTTCCTGATGCAACAGCTGAGGATCAGAGAGGTTAAGTCAGTTCCTTAAAGTCACACAGCTCTAAAGCAGGAGAGCAGGAGGCAAGCTCAAGGTGGCCAACCTCCACTAGATTCTCCAAAAACTGACCCTCCTCCCATCATTCATGGGTCCATTGTTCCTCAAATGATTTCAGCCCAGTGCCTCCACTGGCCACCCAAGAGCCAGCCTCAGTCTCACTGGACTAGCTGCACAGGAGTGGTCAATAGCATTAAAAACACCAGGCATGACCGGGCACGGTGGCTCATGCCTGTAATCCCAGCACTTTGGGAGGCTGAGGCAGGTGGATCACCTGAGGTCAGGAGTTCGAGACCAGCCTGGCCAACTTTGTGGAACCCCATCTCTACTAAAAATTGTATTTTAGCCAGGCGTGGTGGCGTGTGCTTGTAATTCCAGCTACTTGGGAGGCGGAGATAGGAGAATTACTTGAACACGAGAGGCGGAGGTTGCAGTGAGCCAAGATCGTGCCACTGCACTCCAGCATGGGTGACAGAGCGAGACTCCGTCTCAAAACAAAAAAAAACAAAAAACAAACAAACAAAACCCCCCACCAGGCTTCCTAGGCTGGGCATGGTGGCTCACACCTATAATCTTAGCACTTTGGGAGGCCGAGGCGGGCAGATCACCTGAGTTCAGGAGTTCAAGACCAGCTTGGTCAACACAGTGAAACCCCATCTCTACTAAAAATACAAACATTAGCCATGGTGGTGGTTGCCTGCAACCCCAGCTGTTGGGGAGGCTGAGGCAAGAGGATCGCTTGAACCTGGGAGGCAGAGGTTGCAGTGAGCTGAGATCGCGCCATTGCACTCCAGCCTGGATGACAAGAGTGAAACTCCGTTTCAAAACAAAAACAAAAACAATAACTCCAAGCTTCTTGTGGAATCACAAGTGCTGGCAGTTCTGGGTGTGTGTCACGCATGGCCTCAGGTGGCCCCTGTGTAGCAGCTGTCCCCTTGGTGGGGCTGGGCACTCTGGTGCCCCTGATCACTTCTGTATCTTCAGTGAGATGCCATCTTTGTGTCATCTGCCTAGCTGTGTGGACATGTGACTCTGACACAGAGCAAAGGCACCCCAGGAGGAGGCACAGGACCGGAACCCTAAAACCTAGCCTAGCCCGAGCAGGGCATGAGTGCCCTCGGAGGAGGGGTCCACACCCTGGGCCTTGACCCATGGGGCCACCTTGGCACCTGTGCCCTCCTTCTTTAGAGGGGCTGTGTCTTTCTTCTCTTTTGTTTTTCTCCTCCCACAGTTCTCTTTCCATTTGGAGAGGGAGGAGAACTAGGCACAGAGGCCCTGACACTCAAATCTCTCCCTGGAGACCACTGGGCCACCTGCACATCCTCGCGCTTCCACACGGGCGGACAATCAAGCACAGGCACCACCTCCACCGCATCCAGCATGCTTCAGAGTGCTGGCTTCCCGGCTTCCCCAGGGAGCTCAACAGTGAACCACTTTCCCGCCGTCTGTGCAGGGAGGAGTTCCCATTTTCTCTCTTCTGAGACCCTTTTGAACAGACATGGACCCTGCACACAGGCGGGCCCCTCGACTCCCGGCAGACGCTTAATTGGGAGGAAGTGATTCTAAACATCTGGGGCGCACATCTGAGAGTGGGCTCAAGACCACACGGAGCCTGGAGGAAATGGGAATGTATGCAATGATGTCACTTCCTTGGCTGAGGGTCCTCAGGAGGGGGCAGAGCTAAACAACAGCAGGCATTTCTGGGGGCGTGGCCCAGGGCTGGAGCAGGGCAGCAGCCTGTGAGCAGATAGCCGGCCACCTAGAGCAGACGCTGCAGATGACCCTGGCAGAGCCGAGCAGCAGGACCTGTGGTGCACGGAGCAGTGGTCCCAAGGGGAAAGGGGAGAGACAAAGGAAGTGGGGGAGAGAGGGAAAGGAGGAGAAAGGAGACGGGGAGAGTGAAAGAGAGGAAGGAGAAAGGGGGGCGGGGAGAGAGAGAAAGAGCCAAAAGGACAGAGGCAGAGAACTGTTTTGCTCGGCCGGAGCCTCCCAGGGCAACCTACGGAGGAGGGCAGCGTCCCCACACAGGGTGCAACGAGTCAGTTCTGATCCTGGCTCAGTCCCTCCCTAGCTGTGTGACCCTGGGCAAGGGACTTAACCTCTCTGAGCCTCAGTTTCCTCACCTGGGAAAGAAGCACAGGGGATCCCTGTTGCGGGCTGTTGTAAGTCAAGGGGCTCACCTATGTAAACTGATGGCAGATGACTATCCCCTCACCGTCCCAACCCAGTCCAGGTTGGAAACTTCCTGCTGGAAGTGGCTGGTCCCGCCTCTCTGCTTCCCCACCCCACAGTGTGGTTCTGTGTTGTGGGTCTGTTGACACCATCTTTTCCTAAGCATGTCCCTGCCAGGTCTGGGTCTGTGAGCTCCTTTGGGAGTACAGGGTTCCCTAAGTACGGATCACAGAGTCTAAACATAATAGCTACCCATGAGCTTACGTTGAAGGGGTGAATTTAGCTTATCCTGTGCGCTGAGTTTCTGCCGTCATTATAATTATGTGCCTGTTTGAAAGGCAGACTGCTAATGTTTCCCCCCAGTAATTCCTGTTTCCTGCAGAGACAATAGTGTCTCTTCATCCCAAACAGGTGAGACTGGGTCCTCTGGAATTCCCTACAGGAGTCCAGCCCCAGGCAGTGTTTCTCACCTGGCCAGCCTCAACAAGCCAGGAAGCTTTCCTAGGAATATAATGAAGCATCTGTTAATAACTCTTCAAGGAAAGCCGTGGCCAGACTTCCCGAGCTCTGGGTTCTGTGTCTCTCTGGGCTCAGAACAGCACAGGCAGCCGGCAAGGAGGCTCTGCTTCCCTCCAGCCATCTGCCTGGCCACCGCCCTGTCCCCAGTGAGGGGAATTACCACCTTGCAGAGCTTCCACTGCAAAACACAAACACCTGGTTGCCTGGGCCGCACCTTGTCAGGGTGAGGAGATCCAGATGGTCCCTGGAGAGACAGCTGGGTTACCATGGAAACAGAATTGCTGCTGCTCCAGCCAGGAGAGCTGGATTCTAGATCTGTGGGACCCCAAGCTCAGTGGAGAGAGTGATTTGCATACAGTCACATAGCAAGTAGGTCTCAGAGCCTGGACTGTAAAGCAGGACTTCAAAATAATCAGAACTATTACATGCAGAGCCCTCATGAGATGGCAGTTTATGCTACATACTTGGTACCTATCATTTCATGAGAGGCTGGGAGATGAGGCCGGGGATACATATAGCATGGAAGCTGCAGAGCTAAACCAGGCCCACGTCAGCCTGATCTTGAAGCCCAAGCTCAGGTCCCTGTCCTAGGCTACCCCCAATTCTGGTTTCCAGCACTGGGCTCTACATAGCCTGAGACTAGCCCCATACCAGAAGCTAGCTGGCCCTGACTCAGGGAACACTGAAATGGTGGAGGCAAGGAGGGGCTAGGGGCCTGCAGGCAGAGACCCATTTCCAGGGCCTGAACCCTCACCTCCGAGCCCTTGCTCTGCCATGCATGCTGACCTGGGCAGCTCACAGGGGCAAGAGGGCAGGGGTCTGTTGGCCTGAGCCTTCCTCCCTGCCCCTGTGTGCCAGATGGGCCCTGGGAACAGGCAAGAGGCACATTCACAATGAGTCTGATCCCAGGGAAGGAGGAAGAGAAGAAGGCACAACCATGGAGGAGGAGAAGGAGCACCATATTTGGAGTTGGGGCAGGCCCAGGTCCACAACCCTCCTCCCCCAGTCTCTTGATTCTTCCTTCTTCTCTTCAGACTCAAGGGCCCACACATCCATCCACTCAGAGCCATGTCTTCACTCATCCCTTGCCTTGTTATACAAAGGGTTGAGCTACTTTGGACAAGTGAATAAATCTCTTTGAGCGTCAGTTTCCTAATCTATAGAATGGGTTGGATTCTCATGAGGATCATAAAATACCCAGCTGCAATGCATGGCATGAAGCAGTAGCTCAATAAATGGTACTTTAAATGTTACTTTCTCTTCCTCCTACCAATCTTTGAATAATTTTGAGCTGGGCTGCTGGGAAGACTTGGCGAGACAGAAGCCCTCAAGGTTTCCCTCACCCAGGGCACAGACAGGATGGGAATGGTGAGACAGAGGCCTTCAAACATCCCTTGCCCAGGGCACAGACAGGGTGCTGTGGGCCCTGTCCAGCCTCCCTCTGCCAGCTCTCTACTTTCCCCTTCTGCAGGGCTGCCTGCCTCCTGCACAGTGGCTCAGATTCTTTTTTGGGGAAAGGGGGGATGCATTCTTAGCCCCATCTAAACCTCTGCTGTCTTGGAGACCCCATTTACCCCACCTTAGTTAACAGGGTCCCACTCATCTCCACACCCTTGGAGGTGGTGTGACTGGCATTTACCTTGGCCCTACCTACACATAAGGGTTCCATATTTTTACAACACTAGGTTTTGTGCTACCTCCAGGTATGAGAGGCATTTCAGAGAGCATGAATGCCAACAGGCTGGAATAAAATTTCTCACGCATATACAGCATGTCCTATACACCTGGCCCTGTTCCAAGCACTGTATAGACCTTAACCCACTTAAAACCTATGATGTAGGCATTATTATAATCCCCTTTTGTCAAACGAGAGAACCATGGCACAAAGGAGTTAACTGACTCTTCCAAGGTCTCAGAACTGGTGATTAGGGGGCTGGGTGGGATTCACACCCAGACAGGCTACTCCAGAATCCATGCTTTTTAATGACCACCCTTCTCTATGAAACAGCTGAATGGCTTCTGGAAAAAATATCTGAAATTGGGGCTGACCCAGGCTCTCTGCTATTCATCATCCATGGGACCCTGAGTGTTGAATGAGCCCAAAGATGGGAGGGTGTTTAACCTACCAGCAAGGACAAATCATTGTCAAACACTTAAGGCCTCCACTTGCAAGCAGTTCAGGTGATCTTTGGCAGCTCTCAAATCATTACTGTGTCTTTCCCAAGACTTCATTTTAACCTGTTCATAGAAAGCAGGGGCAGCTGGTGGCTTTGGGGTTGAATGTTCTTGTTTGAATCACAATTTTGGCTCTTTTTGGCCAGAAAGCCCTGGTCAAATTATTTTATTTATCTAAACCTCAGTTTCCTCATCTGTAAAATGGGGTAGATATGAGTACCTGGGATCACCATGTGGGATAAGTGAGTTCATGGATACTCAAGGCAGTGCCTGTTACAGAGAAAATGCAGAACTTAATGTTGGTTGCATCATGACTGAAAGGGGCTAGGAATCAGATCTTTTCCTAATCCAGATGCCCTTCCCTGACCTGTCCTGGCTCTGTATGTCTAAAGAGGCAAAACTGATGATAACCGTACCATCATTAATGCCTATCTGTCTGTCTAACCCAGAAGGTACATACTTTGGTATTTACAAGGTATTTACAAGGCTGTGGCTTGCAACACTTGGTTAAAAAAAGTTCCACAACCAGCCTGCCCACCTTCTACCGAGGCCCTGCTCCATTTCACTCTCACACCCTCGAATCCCCTGAAATCCCTCCTCTGGGGGCGAGAATGCTAAGCTCCATCTTAAAACCAAAGCTCTGGCTTCCTTAATCCTCTTACCTGGCTCTTTCCTCTACAGAATTAATTGCTGCCAATGGCTTTTTTAACTCCTTGGGCAGCCATGGCATCCTCAGGGCAACCTGGGGCAGTGCTGGTGGGGGTTGTTTTGGCAGGACCTCTGTCCTGGGTGCACCTGTGGATAGGGTGGCTAGAGGCAGATGCAGGAAGGCTCGGGAAGGCAGGCATGGTGATACCTGTGGCCCTGCATCTCCAGAGAAGCTGTTCCAGCTCCTCGGGAGCACCACTGAGTCCCTGGTGACCTGCAGAGATGCAGGGATGGCCTGGCCAGAGCTCTGGTCCCACTTCTGCCCTTGCCGAGACCACCTCCCCACCCCTCAGAGCCTCTATTTTCCCCTTAAAATGGGAACAAGCTCATCTGGAGGAGTCATAGGGTTGGACATGTAAGGGAGGGTGAAGGGCTGTGTGGCCCTGCACGGTTACTGCCATCTCCCACCCACAGAATGGGAGCATTCACTTATTTCAAACCAGGAGAGAAGGGACTGCGTGTATTGCATGTGTATGTGTTTGTAGGCCCTGTGCTTAGCATGAGGTGGGCCTGGCACAAGAAGCTTGTCATCCCTCGCCCTTAAAATTCCAGTTTAGTATTTTTTATTTTAAGAGGCACTCTCACACCCACGGCCTCATCATTCTTCCTGCAGCCGTGAAGGCAGAGAAATGGTGTAGATGGACAGACTGAGGATGAGACGGCTGCTGGGCAGGGCACAGCCTACCCCAGGCCCCAGAGCCTCCTTCAGAGCTGCACTTCTTAACTAGGGCACCCTCAAGTGTGGTCTAGGTGATATGGCCCCCCAGGTTGCTTAGGTAGTCACAGGTCCCAGTGGGAGAACCACTGCAACCTCAGCTGTCTTTCCATCATTGGGATGCTGTTGTTTCTAAGAAGAGAGGCTCAGTAGTTTGGTGCTCACTGGTCTTTAAGCCTTTTCTAAACCCCTTCACCCTTTACCTCCCCTTTTTTTTAATTAAAAAAATTTTTTTGTAGAGATGTCTCACTATGATGTCCAGGCTGGTCTCAAACTCCTGGGCTCAAGTGATCCTCCCACCTCAGCCTCCCAAAATGCTAGGATTACAGGGGTGAGCCACTGCACCCGGCCATCACCTCCCTTTTTAACTAGCAGAGAACTGGCTCACCCTCCATCATTGAGCAGTCACCTGTAGCTAAACTAGGAGACAAGGTATGGTTTCTACTGTCTTTGTTTTGGCAGTTTCTGAATGTGGTAAGGGAGACTGATCTGCCATTTAAGGAAGCAATATAAAATTTCCTTTAAGAAATATTAAGAACTCAATCTTAATACAAGCGGTACTGAAATAAAGCAGAGATGATGGGGGTGTGATGCCAGTGACTGAGTCTGGAAAGCATCTTGTTGCAGGCACTGTGGGTGCTTCTTCTACACAGCCTCTGCTTACTGCATGCACTGGGACTCTGCCTGGGCGTTTTCTGCTAACTCGAGTGCCAAGGGTTCATCCACCTGCTCCCCGACCTCAAGCTGACCTTGCCCAATAATGGTGGAGAGATGGTGGAGAAATGCCTCCTCCTCCTCGCCTCTCAGGTGGGTAAGGGGCACATTCTAGCTGCCAGCACTCCCAGCAGGACTGAGCCCCAGGTGTCCACAGCAGGTTACGTGCTTCCTAACCACTCTTTTCACTGATTTCCTTCCCTTCCCCATCTCATTTCCTCCACTTCTCGATCAGTGCTTTCTGGGATCCTCCTGAAGGAACAACTTGCACTGGAATCCTCACCGCAGGCTCTGCCTGTGGGAACCCACACTCAGACACACATCATCTAGTTGCAATGCCTGCAGCAGCCTGGCCTTCCCCTACTACAGACCTCGTTAATGCCTACTCCTACTCACTGTGCAGATCCCCTATCCCAATCAGGTGGCCGTGGGGCGGCATAGGGGGTGGGCTGCTGAGGGCCCTGGTGACAGAAGCAGGCCCTTCTTAGGGTCCCATCCTCCAGGCTCCCCTCTCATTTTGGACAGGCCTGGAAAGCAGGTACCCACTGGCTCGGCCCAGGGTGTCCTTGTGTACACCCCCGCTCTGTAGGCAGGGGGGCCAGTGATGAGCTAATCCCCCAGATGAGAGGTCTGTCCCCTGGAGCTCTCGGGGAACCAGAGAGGGCTGCGCTAGGAAAACTGCTGACCCAGCCAGGAGCTGCCGGCTCTCCTTCTCACCCTGCCCCTGCCAACTCCAACCAAACTCTGAAGAAACCCATGACTGCTGCTGCTTCTGCTTAAAAACAGAAAGAAGAAAATGTGGGAAACAAAGAAAAGAGTCACCCTCCGGCCCCCTCCAGATAGAGCCATTACTTGTAAGTTGACATTTTGGTATATTCTCTTCTGGTGTCTGTGCCTAAATACATGTACGTTTTGTTTTTGCACCTGGCTGGGATCATACTAAGTCTAGCACTCTGTTATCCTTCTGGAAAGTTAATATTACATGTAAGCATTCCCACATAGTCATCATTCTTTGGAGACCTCGTTTTAATGGCCGTAGAAATAGCCTGGAAGTTGTTTCCACATCTGCCCTTTCTCATTCTGGGCATGGCAGGGCCCCTCCCCACTGCTCATTCCTGGAACCCCAGGGACCATCACAGCTGCCCCTCCCCCCAATTCCTTGGCCTGGGAACACTGTGTCCATAAACCATCCCTTTTCTCCAAGAGCACAGTGAGGCCACCGGATCTCAGGCCTCATCCCTCAGGGAGGTGGGGGAGGGGACGGAGGCCAGGGCCCCTGGCCCAGGCCAGGCCACCCACCAGTTCACCCAGGGTAATTCAGAGGGAGGTGGTTCCCTGTACTCCACATCTGACCATCCTAGAAATCAGACCTGCTTCCAGCACCAGAAGCCATGTGACCTGGGTCTGTGTCTTCCCGTTTCCTCCTCTATTAATGGGCATGCTGATAAGAGCGCCAGTTGCCTTTCCCACGGCACTGAAACAGAGGGAGGTGAGCGCGTGAACAGGTTTCGTCCACTAAACAGATCTGACCATGAGTCAGTTCTGAGAGGGCCGGGTGATGAAATCCAGAGCCCCTTGTAGGGGCACCTGACCGGGGCGGTGGAGACAGCCCAGCAGGAGGAAGGAAGCCAAACCCCTCCCCAACATCCCAGCTTTGCTGAGCTTGTATGTGGGGGTGGGGGCCGGTGTCCAGGAAGAAGTCTGTCCCGACCTTGAAAAGGTGCCCCAGCCTGCCAGGCGGCTGGCATTTCAAGGGCAAGGGCCTGCCTGCCTGCTGTCTCTGGGGCACCGGCAGCTGGTAACAAATCCCCTGCAATTTGCACCCACCAATCCTGCCTGCTCACTGGGCGGCCGCGAGCTGTTTTTCACGCAGAGCTGCGCACAGCTTTGTCTTAGAGAGACAGCTCTGGCAGGGTGTCCCTGAATAAGGCCATTTGTCCTCCCAGTAACGGGAAGGCGGCTGCATGTTCTGGGGTGGGCAGAGGCAGAGAGGGGTGGAGAGCAGCCACAAGGGAGGCGTGAGGGGGAGATCGGAGTCAAGCCACCAAAAGAGACCAGGAATGTCCCCACCACCACGGGGTCTGAGAGTCCACCATTCAGCCAGGTGAGAGCAAGAGGGCTTGCTTTCAAAGACAGAAGTTGAAACAGTGGTTTATGACCTGGCTTAAGGTGTCCTGAGCAGAAGAGGTAGAAATGACTTGGCTGGCCTCTGACACCTGTGCCTCTCCCAACAATCTGAAGGCTGGAGCACTCTCCAGGGCCCTTGGGGTCAGGGTCTTTCTCTGAGCCCTGGGGCTGCTGCACAAGTTGTTATAGAAGCTCCCTGGGATCGAGAGCTCCAGTGAAGTACCCAGCCTCTCCCAAGCACTCTCTCCATGGACCACAGGCCACAGACAGGGAGGGTGAGACAGGGACCCCTTTGCATTCCTGAATCTTTACCTCCCAGGCTGGCCAGGGGCCCAGGGCATGTCTCAGCCCCCCTCTTGTGATCTGCTGACATTTCCCATGGCTGTCAGTTCCTCTGGGGACTGTCAAAACATCAGGGAAACCAGGCTGAGGAGATGTTTGTGGACAAAAAGTAAGCGATCCACTCTGCATGGGACCCAGGACTCGGGCTGCTGCGTTGAGATGGGAGGGTGTCCTTGAACAGAGGTCAGAAACACTCATGTCCACAGGGCTGGTTTCCAACGGTGGGGAAGGCCATGGGTGTGAGACAATAGAGAAGGATGGGGAGGGCACAGCGCCTGTCCCAGAGGTTAGCCACCACCACCCAGTCAGTCCCAGTCAGCTGTGAGGACGCGGGTCCAAGATTCCCACTCAAAGGAAGCCAGGCATTTGACTCTGTTGTACAAATTTCCTAAACAGTGAATGCTGGCAACTTGTATGCATAAAAAAAAAACATTGAGTGGTCCAATCTCAGGTGTCTGTGGGCCACATCTGGCCTATGAGCAGCCAGTCTGTGTTTTCTGATTGACAGCCACCAGCCACTCATCCCTAAGGAAAGCTGGCCTCTTCCTCAGTGGTGGCAGTTCTTCCAGTTCTCACCACTCTCCTGAGTTCTGACGACCTGTCTCAGGACATCCTGCGGAAGCTCCAAGGCCTCCTGGACCTGCTGCTCTCTCTGCGTTTTGACTTTGCCAATAGCATGAGGGTGGGAGCCCACAGCTGTGAGGCCAGCCTCAGGAAGACAGGAAGGGCGCGAGAAGGCAGCAGGCATTCGGGCTCTCTTCTGGACTCTGGCCCTGCCTCGCTAGGACTTGGGGTGGGTCCTCCCCTCTCTGGGCCCTGGGCTCCAGCATTCCCTATTCGATTATTTCAACAGTGACTGGCTGCTCACGGGTCAGCTGAGGCCATATGGCTTTCTTCAAGCATGGACAGGAGCTGAGACAGGCAGAAGGCTCTTGGGGACCTCGACATGGCGACTGCCTGGTGCTTGGTGCCCACGTTGCCAGCAGGCGTGGGACTGCTAGGTGATGAGGAGGCTGACATTTCAGTGCTGCCCGCCAAGTCCCCTCGGGCTGGCATGGAAGGTGGGGGTGGGGCAATGCTAAGGCCCGGCCTGGGGAGAATCAAGGGAGCATCAGGATGCCGGGCCAGGCAGGTGACCTTCTGTACTGAGGAGGGAGGGGGCCTGGTGAGGAGGAGGATCCCGCCCGCGCACGTGCGCTCTGAGGCTAAAGGCTGCGCCAGAACAAAGAGCTGGGGGCTGGGCGTCCAGGGCCGCGTGGAGCCGCCTGCCTGGCGGCTGCTGCAGTGACTGCCTGTGCTCGCCTCCTGCGCACTCTCCCAGGACACACACACGCACACACACACACGCATGCATGCACGCACATGCACACACGTGCTCCTGCACCACGGCCGGCTCACCGCCAGCTCTCCTGACAAAGCCCCGCTCCAAGCTCACTCACTGCATGATCTCATCCTGGCCCTCCTTGGCTGGCCTGGCCTCCTGACAAGGGAGACAGAAGGGGGATGCAGCGCCAGGGCGACACACACAGGCATGCACCCACACACAGATAACATGCATGCAGACACAGATAGGCATGTACATATACACAGCCATGCACAAACACCATGCAGATACACACATGTACACAACCATGCACACACAGACACGCACACAGGTACATATACGTCATAGACATACACACACCATGGACACAGCCATGTACATGTACACAGCCACACACAGCATGCTCAGATACACACATGTGCACAGCCATGCAGACATACACAGAGACATGCACATGTACACAGGCACACACCCACATACAAAGCCACATACTCTCCCCAACACAAACATACACAGCCTCACACACACCATACACACAGACGTACAGTGGGAGAAAGTCTGAGACCCAGAGAAACCCAGGAAGGCAGAGAAAGCCACGGGAAGCTAGAGATGGACAGGGGCCGCTGCACAGAGACAGACCTACAGACACCCAAGACCAAAGAAAGAAAGGAGCAGGGAGCCCTGGGAGGGCAGAACTGCACAGGCACGTCAGACAAGTGTGGAAAGGCAGGAGGGCGGACAGGTGGCCCAGACTGGCTGAAGGGGCTTGGGGGCTGGAGCGAGCTCTGGAACTGCAGAGGCCTCCCTGGAAGTGGGCTGGGCAGGTGGGAGTGGCCATCCCCACACAGGCACACCGGGGCTGTGCCCAGGGGTAGGGACACTGCAGGTCACCCACACCCACAGAGCCGAGGGGAGAGAGGACAGTGGGAAACAGGCTTGCTGCCACAGAAGGGGCCTTAGAGAGGCTGGGAACCACATCAGCTAAGAGACAGACACATGGAAGCAGAGGAGGAAGGCTGGAGGGTCATATTTACTTGGCCCCCAGTGTGCGTCAGGTATTAGCTGGGCCCCTTTCTCACTCCCATGATTAGGGGGTCCCACTGCATCCTCACAGGCAGCCCATGAGGTGGGCAAATCAGCTCTCTTCACAGACGAGGCCACAGCCTGGAGAGGTGGCCAAGAGGAGGCCTGGCGCCGGTGCCATGTCTGGGACTTGGGGTCCCAGCTCTGCTCCCCATGGCCTCCACCCCTCTTATGGCCCAGCCTGCTCCTGGCAGGTCCTTCACCCCTCAAATAAAACCGCCAGGTAGAGGCTTCCTCCTCAGACTGGCCCCCTTTCCTTTCCAGAAGATGGGGCAAGCAGGGGGTGGCTGGGATCCCGAGAGCCCATATATCTGGATGGGTGGCCCTGAAAGGTAGTTAGTCATGGCTGTGGGCACTGACAAGGGTTTGACTCCTAATAAGGAAATCTGAGGATGGCCAAGCCACAGGCACTGCTGTGCCTCAGTGTTCTCAGCTGCAGAATGGGTACACTGAGAATTCATCCCTGGGAGCCTGCATAGTGTCAGAGTGTCACGTGAGTTCACAGACACAATGCATGGGAAAGGGCTTTCTAAATTACAAAGGCTGTGTTCAAGCAGGGGTGCAGATGGAGGAAAGAACAAATCCCTGTTTCAAGCGAAGAAGTGATGCTGGGAATGCCACTCAGAGGCCTTGCTGGAGACCCCTGAGCAGCATGAAGGGCTCTTTCCAAAGGAAATGGAGGGCTGCCCAGGCCTGGTGTGATGGGGCAGGCAGAGCCCTGGGCCTGCAGCCAGGAGGCTAGTTCAGGTTCCAGCCTATTACTTATGAGTTGGGTGACCTCAGGGAAGTCATAGGACCTCTCTGAGCTTCCATTTTTTCATCCATAAATGTAGATAGTATTCTGTGTCTCACAAAGCTTGGCACCACCACAAAACATATGAGAACACCCAGCACGTGCCAGCAGGGCAGGGGTTTCAGTGACCCTTTGTGGAGGGACTGCACAGAGACCTGAGTCTCTCCTGCTCCTCTGGGGAGGCACTGGGCTCCTGGGACAGCCCATTCTCCAGGTCTCCTTCTCCCTCTGTGGCATAGTTTTGCCTCTTAAATATCCCTCTGTCTCCATTCCACTCTTGTCTTCCTGATCCAGCCACCATCATCCTCACCCCGACCTCCCAGTGATCTGTCAACTGGCCACCTACATCCAGGCAGGCCTCCACGTCCCCCCACCCCCCGTGCAATCTGTTCTTTTATAGCCCGAGCTGTCATCACAAAATGAGCATTTAGCCATGTTCCCATTACTCTCAGGACAAAGACTGTGACCTCCAAGACAGGCCCTGAATGTTTCCGCTGCTGCTGACCTCTCCAGCCTCGCCTTTGCCATGTACCCCCTGCCTCTGGGCTCCAGAATCACTGCCTTTCTCTTAGTTCTGACAAAAAGCCGTGCATGCTCCCCTTCTACCTCAACACCTTTGCACAGGCTGTCCCCTTAACTGCAAAGACGCTCTTTCTCTTTTTCTTCACTTACTCAACCTTCAGGTCTCAGGGGAGACTGCTGCAACCCCAGAGTGGTCTGCCCTCAACAACACCCCCTTGCCATCCTTCACTTTTACTTTTCCTTCAAGGCACTTATCACAGCTTGAGCTTACACAGACAGACAGACAGACACACACACACACACACACACCCCTCTAATTATTTGATCAATGTTTTCCTCTCCCTCTAGACTAGGGGTCAAGAAGTATAGTTAATCACTAGGTTTTTTTGTTGTTGTTTCTTGGTTGTTGTTGTTGTTTTGAGACAGGGTCTTACTCTATCACCCAGGCTGGAATGCAGTGGCTCGATCTTGACTCACTGCAACCTCCACCTCCCAGGCTCAAGTGATCCTCCCACCCCAGCCTCCCAAGCAGCTGGGACCACAGGCGTGCACCACCGCACCCAGCTAATTTTTGTATTTTTTTGTAGATATGGGGTTTCGCCATGTTACCCAGGCTGGTCTCGAACTACTGAACTCAAGTGATCCACCTGCCTGAGCCTCCCAAAGTGCTGGGATTACAGGTGTGAGCCACTGCACACAGCACTTGTTTTCATAAATAAAGTTTTCGTGGAACCAGCCAACCCCACTCCTCTATGTACTATCTATGGCAGCTTTCACAGAGCCCCCAAAAGCCCCTGTCTGGCCCTTGATGGAAAAAAGCTTGGTGGCCCCTGCTCTGGACTATAAGTTTCTTAAGGCAGGACCCTTTCTGTTTAGTTGCCCTTGCAAATTCAGCCCTTGCTGGGTGCCTGCACAGAACGGGCACTTAAGAGGTATGTGTCTTTGATAAGTCATTTCTACCCTGTCAACATTGTATTGACTTAAGTCATTATTAAAACTGCACACTCCATCAGGAATAGATGTCCCTTGTGAGATTCCAAGACCATTTTCTAGCAAGCAGTTCAATACGATAGCAATATCCCAATGCAGGCGGGCATGTCCAGGGTCTCAGAGTAGCTACTGGCTAATGAGGCCACCACACATCTATGTGTGCAGCGCCATCCATGTGTGCAGACTGGAAACATACATGGAAAGAGGCGCAAACTCACACGCAAGAGATTATAAATTGAGCAGATTTATGGAAACACATCATGAGATGTCCTTACAACGTTTTCATGAAGGCTGTGTCTATATACACTCCAAAGAACTGACTGATGAATTCAGTGAAAACGTCCATTTTATTGTTATACAAGGGAAATAACTGTTTCTTTTTTTCTTTTTCAACTGCTTGTCCTGACTCCATAAGGAATGTTAACAATATCCAGACACGGTGCTAGGTACTTTATGTATTTCTTTCTTTCTTTTTTTTTGAGACGGAGTCTCCCTCTGTCACCCAGGCTGGAGTGCAGTGGCGCGATCTCGGTTCACTGCAAGCCCCGCCTCCTGGGTTCACGCCATTCTCCTGCCTCAACCTCCTGAGTAGCTGGGACTACAGGCGCCCGCCACCACACCCGGCTAATTTTTTTTGTATTTTTAGTAGAGACGGGGTTTCACCGTGTTAGCCAGGATGGTCTCGATCTCCTGACCTCGTGATCTGCTCGCCTCGGCCTCCCAAAGTGCTGGGATTACAGGCGTGAGCCACCGCGCCCGGCCTGCACTTTATGTATTTCTAGCACTTACAATGACCCCTGAAGTCAGGAGTCTCCTTACCATTCCTGCCTTCCCAGAAAGATCAGCTGAGGCTCAGAGACCACACACTTAGCAAGTGACAGGTCTGTCCGGCTTAAAGCTAGCAGGGTGCCTGTGGCCTAAGCCAGGTTATGAGGATGGTGGGAAATGTAAAATAAAACTGTATCTTTAAAGTGCTCAAAGCCCTCCCAGACAGAATGCTGCTTGGCACTCTCCATGGCCCCTGCTTACTGCAAGGTCAGGAGACCGCAGGTGATGACAAAGTTGCAATACGGAACCCTGAGTGTACTGATTCATTTTGTTTCGACTTTTGTGTTTCATTTTAAACAATTTTTGGGGAATGAATGAACGTAGTGGAGTATAAAGGTTAAGAATGCTGACTCTGAAGTACAGGCCTAGGCTTAAATCCCTGCTCTGCTGCCTTCCAGCTGTGTGGCCTTGGGAAATCTCCTCTGTGTTTGTGAGCCTCAGTTTCCTCATGTGTAAAATGGGGAGCTCACAGTGCTTATGCCAAGGGGTCACCGTGGTGATGGAGTGAGCTGATGCTGGTCCTGCCTGTAGCACAGTGCCTACTGCTGGGTTTGGTGTGCCTCGGGAGCCTCTCTGGCCCTGCAGTACCCCTGAGGCAAGTATACTCCCTGGGAGAGGCACGAGGACAGCCCCAACTGTGGGTCCCAGAGCCTGGTGGATGAGTTGCTCTTCCTCAGGGGTTCGCACTACACCTAGACAAATGGAGGCACCAGAAGGCAGGGGCAGCAAACAGGCATGGTTTATAGTCAGTTCCCCTCCCCACCTCCCAGTGACATCGCAGAGTCCCCCACGGACACCTACCGGCAGACTTCGGGGTGAACTTGTCTCGGTTTGCAGCACACACAGCCAGCAGTCTGTAGCCGAGGTCCAGGTCAAAGCCTTGCTGGGCTGCCACCCGACTGACCACCTGAAAGCAAGAGGGGAGGAGGGCAGGTGAGTCACGGAGCCCAGAGCCAATGGATATGCCCATTTTGCAGGTGAAGTGGGTGAGGTGGGCAAGCTAAGGCAGTGCCCCATCATTAGGCAGAGCCAGAAGTCCACTGTGCCTTCTTCAGTTGCTCAGCAAATACTGATGAACACCTCTTCCGTGCCAGGCCCTGGGATCCTGGCCCCGTCCTTAGGGGTTTCCCAGGCTGACGATGGGTCCAACACCAAAGCCATAGGCCCCGCCGCTTCCAAGGGCTCAGATTCGACCACATTTTAGAAGTCGGCTGGGGATCCTGTACCACCATCCTTAGGGTGGGCCCTAAGGGTCTCTGCTCCATCTGTGTGGCTCTTCCATCTCCCTTCCATGCCCTGGGCCCTCAGGAACTCCCCCACCCCTCACTGAGCTCCTGCACCCACTACTGGGGAGGGCTCACTGCCCTTCCTACTCCAGGGCTATCAGCACCACAGGGGGGCCTGTTACAAATGCAGACTCTTAGGCCCAGCCCTGCCCCTCCGAGTCAGCATGCATCTCATCTAAAGCAGTGATTTAGGCCAGGTGTGGTGGCTCACACCTATAATCCCAGCACTTTGGGAGGCTGAGGCAGGTGGATCACTTGAGGTCAAGAGTTCGAGACCAGCCTGGGCAACATGGTGAAACCCCGTCTCTCCTAAAAATACAAAAATTAGCCGAGTGTGTGGCAGGCGCCTGTAATCCCAGCAATTCTGGAGGCTGAGGCAGAAGAATCGCTTGGACCTGGGATGGGGAAGTTGCAGTGGGCCTAGATCGCACCACTGCACTCCAGCCTGGGCAGAACAGCAAGACTCCTTCTCAAAAAAAAAAAAAAAGCGGTGATTTAGAACAAGCTGCTTCCCACAGGGCTTCAGGTCAGAGCTGCTTAATCGACTAAGGCTTCCGGGATGGGGCAGGCATTGTAATGCTGCTCCGTGCCAAGCACCCTGCAGCCCCCTCAACCTCAGCTAGAAACCGCAGGACTCCCACGCTCAGCCTGGGGTCTGTCTCTAGCCTTAAGCCCCAGCAAATGGGGGGCTTCCATAACAGCAATGGTGTGTTTGGAGCCTGAAGGTCCCACCCATCTCCTTAAAATCTCAGAAGTAGGGACTGGCAGGGTGAGAGGCGGCAGACTGGGAGGGCCATCGGTCCCCTGGGGGGCAGTGTGGGACGGGGCGCTCCAGGGGACCCTTGGGTGGCTTTGCAAGCTGTTGCCGCTCTGGCTTCACTCTGTCCCCACCCATTCCCAGGTGTCCCATGACTCCCAGATCTGCTCCCTCACACCCGCCTTCCTCATGAACAGCAGCAAAATTAGCTTTCTTTATTAAGAAGGACCTTGGAAAATGGAGTCATTTAGAAAGCAGCTGGAGTGGCTATGGCTGAGTAGGGAGAGCACCCAGATGTGGTAGGCTGGTACTTCTGAAAAAGGGGGGACTCTGCTGCCAAGCCCCCAGGAACCACCTGCTCCAGAGGCGCCTGGAGGGGCCTCAGACTGCCATGGGGTTTGGCCTGGCCCCTAGATCCAACAGAATCGTTCCCCACGCCTGCCTTAAATCTCAGGAATTTGTGAAAGGGGCTCTGGGGCTAAAAGGGCTGGGAACACCACTTACCTAGGCCAATTTAAAACAACACTGGAGACTCAGAGAAATGTCCCGTGCTAAATCAGGGAGGAGCCAATGGGTTCCCCTTCCCAGGATCACCAGTGACTCTTGGAATGGGACTGTGGCCCTCCCTGCGCCCCTCTGTGTAGGGCTAATGTTTGAGCCAGGTTGGGAGGAAAAAGGATGTTGTTAGGTTAGGATGCTTGCTCAACGTCTCTGCTGCAAACAGAAGCCCCTGGCACAGAAGTCTTCCACACTCCTTAGGCCTCTTTCCCACGGGCTCTGTTTGCCCCTCTACATGTCCCAGTCTCTGGGACATCCTCACCATAAGTCTCACTGTCCACATAGAAAAACCAAGGTCCCTAACTCTTTATGGCCTGTTGAATATTTCAAGTCTGCAGGCAGACTCTCCTCCAGAGAGTGAGGAGGAAGATTCTGGGCTGGAGGGACCACTGCAGCTCATACGTGGACTCTGGTGCCCTCCCTCTTTGTAGAACTTCAGGTGGATGCCTGTGAGCACAGAGCGGCCTGTTTCGACTGGTGCAGTAGTGAGGCTGCTGTCAATGGGAAACACTGATGCTTACAAGTGCTGCAGTGAAAATGCTGGCTCCCACGTACATAGGTGCTTTGTATGCAACAAAGTGCAAATTCTTTCAGCAGCTCCACGAGATAGGTATTATTATTATTATCTCTGATTTACAGATGAGGAAAGAGGTTGAACAACACCTCAAAGCTGGTCAGTGACAGAGACAGGATGTGATCCAGGCAGTCTAGCTGAAAACTCTGGGCTCTTTCTGTGCTAAGACTTCTTTCTCAGTCCACAAAGGGTTAACGCCATAACTTCCAACCTGCACTGAGGACCCTCAGGCCCTGGGTTCAGGGCAGGAAGGCAAAAGTCCCCATGTTTGGCCAATACTGGCTAATCCTGTTGCTCTAGTTAAAAAGGAAAAAATACTAGCTAACTTGAGCTAGAGGGGCTTGGTGCTGTATGGCGGCTCTAAGGGCCAGCCGGGTGGGTGCTGGAGCAGGGAGTCTCTGCTTGTCACCAAGTCCCCTGTGCCCCAGCATTCAGAAGGGTCACTGGCTCCAATAGCCTCCTTTCACTGATGAGGAAGTCAAGGCCCAGAGAGGGCAGGACCGTGCTCAAGGCCACAGAGCACAGGTATGGCAGAGTGAGCTGAATCAAATCCTGTAACCCTAGAGTGCCTCATGCATTCCTATCCCCTGGGTTCCTCTGGCCCAGCCTGAGGACCCCCAGAAAGTTCTGTGAGGCAAGGTCTGACTGACAGTGGTGGGAGCGTGGGCTCAGCTGTGCAGCTTGTTTTTCAGAGAGGCCCATTCTCACCCCAGTGGTCATGATGCTCTCTGTGAAGGTCCTATAGGGTGCAAGGCCCCCTCCCCATAAAGGCCAGTGTGAGTGGCTGGGGCGCTGTGACCCTCTGTTGGCTGTCCAGGTACTGCTGCTTGACCCACGGTGGCGGGGTGGGGGTGGCAGGGGGAAGCACTCCTGAGGCTGCCCTGTCATCCTGGCTGCCAGACACCTAGACCCCTAGAGCCAGGGGACCTCACAGGTCAGGGAACCCAGCCTCACGCCACAGACAGGGAAACTAAAGTCCAGACACAAGACGGAGAACTTGACTGGGTATGGTGGCTCACACCTGTAATCCCAGCACTTTGGGAGGCTGAGGCAGGATAGCTTACACCCAAGAGTTCAAGACCAGCCTGGCAAACATAGCAAGATCTCATCTGTACACAAATTTTTTTTTTCTTTTTTTTTTTTTTGAGACAGAGTCCCGCTCTGTTGCCCAGGCTGCAGTGCAATGGCACGATTTCAGCTCAGTGCAACCTCCGCCTCCTGAGTTCAAGGAATTCTCCTACCTCAGCTACCCGAGTAGCTGGGATTACAGGCGTGTGCCACCACGTCCAGCTAATTTTCTTTTGTACTTTTAGTAGAGACAGGGTTTCACCATGTTGGCTAGGCTGGTCTTTAACTCCTGACCTCAGGTGTGCTTGGGATTATAGGCATGAGCCACCATGCCCAGCCCCATCTGTGCAAAAAATTTTTTAATCTGGTGTGATGGTGTAGGCCAGTGGTACCTAGGTACTTAGGAGGCTGAGGTGGGAGGATCATTTGAACCCAGGAGTTTGAGACCATCCTGGGCAACATAGCAAGGCCCCACCTTTAAGAAAAAAATTAAAAAAAAATTTAAAAATTGGCCTGGCATGGTGGCAGGTGCCTGTAGTCCCAGTTACCCAGGAGGCTGAGGCAGGAGGATCGCTTAAGCCCAGGAGGTCAAGGCTGCAGTGAGCAATGATCGTGCCACTGCATTCCAGCCTGGACGACAGAGCAAGACACTGTCTCTAAAATTTAAAAAAAATTAAAAAAAAAAAGAAGAAGACGGGTGACTTGCTTAAGGTCACGTGGTGAATTACATTAGTCCCACAAAGCAACTGAGTTGTCTTGAAAAGCGTCCAGCCTGCTGGTCACAAAACAGGAGGACAGGCTGTCTAGGGAATGCTGGAGAAGGGGTCTCCATTACTGGCAGGGGGCGGGACCCGAAAAGTCTTTCTGACTCTGACCTCCTCTGAAGCTGCAGGGCGTCCTCATTGGGGAGATGAAGGAGAGGCCTGCTGATGTGAAACCCGGTTCCCTCCTGGACCTGCTCTCCCACTGTCTCCTCTGTCTTCCGCCGTTCCCTAAGCCCACGGGAGGGAGAGGGCGCCCAGAGGGGCTGCTCTGCCCGACTACTGGAGGAGGAAGGGCCTGCTTCTGATGAGGAAGTGGTGGCCCGGGGCTTGTGCCGGCCCCTGGGGCAGGGCCTGGGGGTCCTGTGCTTCCGCATCCTTAAGTCTCAAGATGTGAAGCAGACGGGATGGCAGGGCCAGGTCTGGGGTCACTTTAATTGTGCCTGAGCTGCTTAGAAGTGAGTATGACAGAAATGTGTCCATTTGCTGCTCGGGGCTAAGTGATTTTTAATTTATATCCTCAAAGTAAGCCGGATCCAGAGGAATTTGGAGTTTGCTTCCAGAGGTCACCCCGGGGATTGCAGCAACCTGGAGGGCTCAGGCTGACACCTGGATAGGGAGGGTGTGTGTGCGTTTGTGTGGGGAGGGGACAGCTGTCTTGCCCCACCTAGGTCCCTTGGGACCTACCTCCCACATTCCGTTCTTCTCCATGGGGCAGGGCTGGGGCTGAGGATGCCTGGGGAACAGGGGCACCGGCAACAGGGCCCAGAGGCTCCCAGGGAGTCTGTGGGACCAGCCTGGGACTAGGGTAAGCTGCTCCTGCTCCCAGTGGCCTTGTTTGTAAAATGGGAGTGGTGACTCCCTGCCCACCTCAAAGGGTCTTTACAAGGATCCAAAGAGACAGTGGCTAGGGAAAATACCCTGAGCACTGAAGTGTCGTTTATGACAATCCCCACTACCCGCCACCAAGCCCCTTCAAGCTGCTGGCTCTACTGAGCTCTAAGGGAAGCTAGACTCAGGTCTCTGCAGCTGTGGCCAGGCTGCAGGAGTGGGGGCCATTCCACTAGGTACATGCCTTACACTGGAGGCAGGGAACAGAGGCCCAGGAGAGTGGGCACTGTCTATGCAGCCTCTCCTGCCATGGATTCCTCTCTGTCCAGCCAGATCTCATGAGGCCCTCTCTGGGCTCCCTCCTCCAGGAAGCCCTCCATGATCCCTCCATCCTGCCCTCAAAAGATGCTCCCTTCAGAGCTCCTGCCCCCATACAAATCATAGCCCATCACTCTCCTGCTGACAACCCTTCAAGGGCTCCCCATTGCCCTCCAAATAATGCCCAGACTTTCGCTTGGCCTGTGGGCCCTGTGTTAGCTGCTTTACACCTCCTTCCTCTGCCTCATCTCACATGCTTCTCCCTTCCCTGGGCTCCAGCCACCTGAGCCTTCTTTCTGTTCATGAACACAGCAAGCCTCAGGGCCTTTGCATTAGCAGTTCCCTCTGCCTGGAGCACCCTGCTCTCTCATCCTCCCAAGGAGGTCAACTCCTCAGGAGACATTTCCTGCCCTGTACCCTTGCCCCTTCTCCCAGAGCTCTGGCATATGTCCCTGTTTGCTCCTTTGTGGGTTCAATGTCAGGCTCCCCCTGGCAGGCCAGCCCCTTGACAATGGTCCCTCTGGGGCCCAGCACAGGGCCTGTCCCCCAACAAGAGCCCAGTGAATGTTCATGAATGAACGCATGGACAAGAGGACCGAGGCAGAGCCAGTTCCTGGTCCATCCAGGCCGGTGAGGGCCACTCTCTGATTCAGTCTCAAGTCCCCACATCCTAGATAGACAGGGTCAGGCTCGGGGCAATGTGCTGGAGACTGTGGCAGCCTGGCTGGACACACGTCACACAAGGTTCCCACCTCCTCCATCCTCTGCTGGGGTAGAAGTGAGGGAGCCTCTGGCAACATCTGTCCCTGCCCACATGGCTTAGCCTGGAACCAGATCCCCACAAAGAGGATTAGGGGGCTGGGGGGGCGGAGGGAGAAGGGGATCCCATGGGCTGAAGGATGAGGAAGACTGGGCAGTGCAGGTGGCTGCTCGATTTGGCCCGGTGGCCTGAGGGAGCCAGATGGTGCTGGCTTCTGACAAGCTGAGCAGCCCCAGGAGGGTCCTGGCTGCATCCCTGTCTGGCATCCCTAATGGCCAAGGGCATCCCCTCTGAAGACAGGCAGGCCTCGGCTGTAATCCCAGGCCCACCTCTAAGGCTGTGCGCCCTTGGGAAGTCAGTTAAAAGTCTCAGTTTCCTCCTCTGTAAAATGTGGGGGAGGGTTGCAGGCCAAGCTCACTGAGGGGATTTGGTGGGATGGTGTATTCTGTGGGCCGGCTCCCTGCCAGGCACAGAACAGATGCTTTGTCACGATAGCCGTGTTGCCGCTATTTCTTCCTCTCCAGGCCAAGGCCATGTGGGCCTTTTGTCTCCTTCCAGCTTTTCAGGAAGCCTGGTGCCCGTGGGCCATGCCCGCTGTTCCCGCCTGGCCAGACATCCTCTCCCAGCCTCAGGATAGGCGGGCTCCCCTGCCATCTGTTTACCCACATTCCTTTCAAAGTGGACTCAGGGCCTTCTGAGCAGCTGCCCTCCCTGGTCATCACACATATGGACACAGGCCACATGGCTGGGGACATTCTCAAGCTTCGAGTGACTTCCATGGGGCCCTGTTGGCTGGCAAGCTCCTTAGCCTGGCCGATCATACCACAAACTCTGGACCTGGCCTCTGCCCAGCTTGCAGCCTCGACCCTTCCTGTTCTCTGGGTTCCATCGGGTGTGTGGCCTTTTGCAGATGCTGTTCCATGTGCCCCAAGCACTCCTGCCCCCTCTGCTGCTTGTGCCCCGAGCACTCCTGCCCCCTCTGCTGCTTGTGCCCCGAGCACTCCTGCCCCTCTGCTGCTTTGCAGACTCCTGCCCATGGAGGGTAGCTCCTTTCCTCAGTTTTATGCACCCTGCCCCGCCACCCAGCCAGTTCAGGATTCCCTTCCCTGTGCTGCCTTCACTGTGGACATGATTTTCTCAGTCACTTCTTTACACATCTGCCTCCTCCGCTACAGAGGAAACCAGGCTCGGTGAAGCCTTATTCATCTTCAGTTTCCCTGGACTTAGCAGAGGGATCATACATGATCAATGAGAGATCAATGCTCATTTGGTTAGACGGATGGATGTAAGAGGGGCTCAATCAATGCTTACCTGAATGGATGGATGATGACAAAAGAAGCTCCATACATGTTTGCTAAGTGAATGAATGAATGAATGACTGGATAAAAAATGGCTGAAAACCCTTTGAGAGTTTCTCTACTGTGCTTATGATGGAACAGTGACCTGCAAAGTGAACACTGCGTCTTTCTCATCAAGTGTGGGAACCCACACAATCCCTAGGGACTGTGCCTCCTCATCAACTCCAGGTCCCCTGAGGGTGTGCACGTGGGGGACACACCAAATAGGGCCATCCCCCCAGCACCAGTGTCTTCCCAGCTCTCTCACTGGTGTCACCTCCCAATGTCTGACAACCTCTCTGAAACCTGGACAGGCACGCTAGCACTCAGCTGACCTTCCTGGGCAGGAATGCAGGCGGACAGGGTGCAGACTCACCGTCAAACAGCCCATCAGGCTCTGCTCGAAGGGCCGCTGGAAGGCCCGTGGGTCTCCGCACCAGTCCAGCAGCTCCGTGGCGGCATTGTGGAAGTTGGCAGGATTCTGTAAGTGCTGTGGGAAAGGAAAAGGAGGCGGCTGAGGCTCCAAGAGTGAGGGTAGCACAGGCAGCGTGTGGGGGTCTGGGGTGGGAAGAACCCAGCCTCACTGGGGAGGAGGTTCACAGAAAGGGGTAAAGGGGTAGCTGGGATCAGTAAGTTTCCTCATGCTCGATTTCACACCCTGTGCTCGGCATGCCTGCTCCCACCCCCCCCCACCCCCACCTCCACCCCACCTCCCCGATCCACCTCCACTCCACCCCCACCACCTCCACCCCCACCCTCACCTCCACCTCTACCCCCATCCCCACCCCAGTGGATTAGTAGCCCCATTGCAAAGACAGGAAAACCAAGGTCTAGAGAAGGCTGGTGACTAATAGCAGAGTGCTTTCTGGATGCTGGTGGGGGTGGCGGAAGGTGATCCCTGCAGGGTTCCGGGAGTTCTCCCTCCCTGATCCAGGACAGGTTGGCCCTGGAGATTCCTTCCTGACTGCCCAGCCACCGCCATCAAAGCCCAGGACTGGGCTCCCACCAGCTCTGGCTTTGGAGCCTGCTCTGCCCTAGCCACATAAGGTGATGGGTTGGGGGAGGCCACAGCCAGCTGGGAGGGTGAAGGAAGCACACGTGCCTGTACTGTCCTCACACTAGGGGCTGCTGTGTGTGACGTACTGGGCCCTGCCTGGGTCCGCTCAGAGGCTGCTGGCATGGTTGGGGAAGTCAGCCTGAGCTCAGGCCCCTGCCAGGCAGAGTCTGAGTCGATGGAGACTGAATTCTGGTGCCAGGGTGCTGGGCCTCCTGGTTCCGCTTCAGGCCCAGGCTGCAGGGCTGGTGGGGTGGGTGAGGTGCAAAGCAAAGGGGTGGTTCCCATGCCCCCCTTCACTCTTATCCGTCTCCTCAGGCCCTCTGAGTTGGGTACTGAGTCCAGGAGACAAAAGATGTGGCTAGGAGCAAGGAGCAGATTAGGGGCAAAGGTGAGATTCTGGGATGGGGCTCTGGCCCAATTTGGCTGTAACTGACTGTGTCCTCCTGAAGGACCCCTGGAGGGTGTCCACAGCACAGGAGTGTGAACCACTGCAGAGATGATGGCACCTCCTGAGGTCCCATTGCCTTGGTACTGGGAGAAACAACAGAACAGGAGCCACCCAGGGCAGTCCCTCCATTCGACCTGCAGCATGAGCCTGCCCCAGCGCCAGGGCAGGGAGGGGCCTAGGAGCCGCAGGGCCCAGAATTGGCAGGGGAGCTACGGGAATCCACACTCTGCCTTCACCCACTTTCAACCACTGACGTAGGATGGTCCCCTCAGCTCCCTGAGCCTCAGTAGCCTCATCTGTAAAATGGGGATATGACAGAACATGACTTGGTGGTGGGGTTTTATTTCTTTCGCTTAAGGTTCCGTGACTGTTGCTACAATGTAGTTCATGCGAGGCAAGGTATTTAAAAATGGGTGGAGGAAAGTGAAATGAAGGAGAATGTCCTCCTTCCATGGAAGTAAAGGGAGAGAAAGAGATGTAGGAGAGAAAGAGGGCAGGCAAGCAGCAACAAAGCCCTCCATCACGGGGCCGCAGTGAGGCTTAAACAAGATGAGGCTTATACAGCCCCTGGCAAAGTGCCTGGCGCGTGGGGTGCTCCCATGTGGGGCTGCCCTTGGCCCTGACTCTGTCTCCCAAAGGCTCTCCTGGAAGTACAGCTGCATGTGGCCGCTCTCAGCCCTGGCTCCTTCTGCAAAGGCAGTGCTCCCTGCATTTGAATTGTGTGAGACAGGAGTAATTTCAACATACAGAAACAAGCCCTTTGAGAGGGCAGCGGCGGGTCCTCACCTCTGCCTCCTGTGCCCTTTCTCTAAAGCATGCCCCTCAGAGGCCACAGGTGGTATCTAGGCTGCACGTGGAAAGCCATGCAAATCAGCTGATTCCTGCCCACCAGCCACCCCTGCTAACCGAGTTGTTCTGTTTATTTCAGTGATGTCACACCAAATTAGCAGGGGCAGGAGCCACTGCATGCTGCCTCAGAGCTGCCTGCCCCCAGCTGGTCACAGCACCCCACTTTGGGGCTCTGGGTGCAGGGGTAGCCTCTGAGGTCCATCTCAGAGGCCCAGTCTGGTTCTGGCACCCGAGTGCCCAGCCTTCAGTATCTCACCAGCGTTCAGAGCTCACCCCAGACAGCTTGTGTGGCCTGTAGGCTGTGGGTACACCTCATTGCTGAAGAAAACATCAAGTGTCCCCTTTGCTGGCTTTTTTTTTTTTTTGGACAGGGTCTCATTCTGTCACCCAGGCTGGGGGGTAGTGGTGCGATCATAGCTCACTGCAGCTTCAATCTCCTGGGCTCAAGTGATCCTCCCACTTCAGCTTCCCAAGTAGCTTGGATTACTGGTGTGCACCACCATGCCTGGCTACTTTTTGTTGTTGTTGTTAATTTTTAACAGAGACGACGTCTTGCTATGTTGCCCAGGCTGGTCTTAAACTCCTGAGCTCAAGCAGTCCTCCTACCACCGTCTCCCAAAGTGCTGGGAATACAATGATGGCTACTGTGCAGCTCTTTGGCCTTGGTCAAGCCCCCTCCCCTCTCTGTGCCCTTGTCACCTATTTCAACCAAGAGGTGACTGAAGTGCACAGAGAGACAAAGTGATCTAGTGAGATAAGCAGAACAGACATGGTCCAAACCCCGTCTCAGCTGCTGAGCCATGCAGCCCAGGAGACATTGCTGCACATCAGACCCTCATCTGTGAAACGGGGTAGTGATGGCATTCAGGGCTGCCGCAAAGTTGAGAAACGACAAGGAACTCATTACAGAGCAGGAGCCCAGGGAAAGACTGCTACTGCTGTTGATGCCAGGGCCCCTCCACGGTTCTCTGTTTCTCTTTTGAGCCTCCTGAGGGGAGAAACAGCCTCCTGTTCACCTCTGGAACCCCAAAGGCTGGCACAAGGCTGAACCCCATGGGAAATGATTGGGGAGCAGTTAACTGTCCAAAGGATGGTGAGCCTGCTGTGTAGGCCAGCAACATGGCCACTGCAGAATGAGCCCCAGTGGGAGGTGGAGGGAGGGGCCAGGGCAGGGCAGGGGTGAGCTTGGCCAGCCGTTGATGGGCTGGGGATGGGAGCACATGTTTGAATCATAGGCAGAGGCCTCCCTAATTATGGCTGTTACTGGACACTAGTACTCTGTCCCCCATCAGAAAGCCTGCCCATCTCTATAATTCCTCAGAAGAGTTGGGCTATATCCAATGCCATTGAGTCTGCTGGGGCAGGAACAGGGCACACCAATGCCTTGAAATGATGAATTCATCTTATCAATCCATCTGTCCACCAGTCCATCTGTGAATCAAGTGATTCATCCATTCATCCATCTATGCGTGTATCCATCCATCCATCCATCCATCCATCCTAAATGAATCAATTCATCCATCTGTCTCCTTGCCAGCCCACCCATTCATCCATTCACCACTTTATCCACCACTCATCCATCCCTTCATTCATCTACCTATCTACCCATTCATCCAGAAGTTAATTTATCCAGTCACCCACCTATCTGTTCATTCATCTATTTATCCATTCATCATCTATACACGTCCACCCACCCACCCATCTAACTATCTGCCCATATGTCCATCCATCCATTCTCTTATGTATCCATCTATCAGTCCACCCCTCTCCTCAGCCCACCTAAAATAGCTGGGCCCCACTCTGAGCTGGATGCTATGCTAGACTCTGTGATTTTGAGATGAATATGGCATGTCCTTTGCCCCCAAGGAGCTCAACCTGGTGGGAGACCTGATGTATTCCTACAGGGCCCATAGCTCCAGAGAGACAGAGCAGAGTAGGTGAGACAGCTGGGTGCCCAGGAAGTGTTCAAGCTCAGGGATGGGGTACAGATGCTCAGAAGGGCCCCTGGGGTTCAGGGCAGCTGCTGAGCAGGAATGAGCTGATTTGCAGGGCTCTCCATGTAGAGCTGGGATGTGGCAGTGATCTCTGAGAAGGGCATGTTGCAGAGAGGGAGCACTGGTTCTCCCAGTACCAAGAGGCTGAGAAGGGGCAAAGGCAGCTTAGATAGAGGCTGTGAGGGGACATGGGCAGCAGGGTGCAGAGGGTGGGGGTTGGTGAACGCCAGCAAAGGCTACAACCAAGGTGAGGGCAGGAAGGGAAGGCTGTGTGGAGAGGTGAGCCCCTACCAGCCTGAGGTCTGCACAGCTCGTCATCTCAGCTCGTGCACACATGCTTGCCTTTCTCTTCTGATTAGGTTACAGGATGCCTGAGAATCAACAGTCCCCAGCCAGCCGAGGCTGACTTCTAGGGCAGCTGTGGAGCAGACAGATGTCAGCACTGAGCTGTGTCTGACCGGAGATGTGGGAGGAGGGGCATGGAGCACGTAGGGAGCTCTGGATGGCCCAGGGGGCATCTGGGCACACTCACAAATGCGCCACTGCCTGGCTCAAAAGCAGAGCCCTCTGTGTGTGTGCACGCATGTGTGTGCCGGGGCAGGTGAGGGAGGGTGGTGTGGGCTCTGGCATGTGCTGGTTGAATGTGAATTAATTATGATGCCCATTTTATAGATGAAGGGAAGTGAAGCGGCAACTTAAGGCTGCATAGTTTGTAAGCGACGGAATGGTGACTGAGCTGTGTGCCATGCTGTGAGGGGCTTCTGGTGGGCCTCTGCCCAAGATGGACCCAGGGAGGGCCAAAGAAGTCAGGTGCACCCTGACCCCTGGTGATACGGAGCTAGGTGCCAAGAGGAAAGAGGCTGAGAGCAGGTCTCGGCAGGAGTGGTGTGCCTGCCATGCAGAGGGTCCCATGCACAGGAGGCATGAGCATTCCATTGGAGGGCGGGGCCCCTGCCAGCTGAGCCAAGGGTGGGAGAAACGGAGTGAAAGGTAGAGCTAGGAAAGAGCCCTGCAGAACCCTGAGTGGGAGGAGGGAGTGTGGGGGAGGAGGGAGTCTTGGCGTCTGGTTTCTATTCTGCCACGGTGAACAGAGGCGTGTAATTGGCGTTTGGGAGAGCCATTTGGGCTGGGTTCAATCTGTAACAAGCCTTCTTCAATTTCCTCTCCACATACCCTGCATAGACTTTAAGATTCCTCTGCTCGATGCTAATAAGAAGACACACAACCCTCGTTCTCGAGGAACAGCCTCAGTTCCACTGGGCAGGCACCTTGGGGAGGCTCCGTCTGGGTCCTGGCCCTCAAGGAGGGAAGGCTGGGTGGGTAGGGGGCTGTGAGTTCTGCCTGGCGGAAGCCCAGGGGCCAGCAGCCCATGCTGGTTGCCTGAGCTTCCTGCTAAGCTGGCCTAGGCCAGGGGCCTGAGCCCCAGCACTCCCTTCCCTGTCACTGACATACTGAGGACAATGGACACCACACACCAGGGCTGGGCTACGTGCATCACCCACAACATCCTCACAGCATCCTACGAGGTAGGCCCCATTTGACAAATGGGGAAGCTGAGGCTCAGAGAAATGGAGGACTAGCTTGAGATCTCACCATGGGTCCATAAAGGAATGAGCACTTGGGTCCAAGGCGTCTGACACCAAAGCCCATGCCCCTCTCACTGTACCTGGTCCTTCCTGGAGTGAATAACATTCGTGGGTCTGTGCAGGGAAGCTGCCAGCCTGGGCAGTGGGAGCTGGGCCCAGCAGGTGGGCACGTCACTCCTGGCCACCGCTTGGGGGCGCCCCTGTGAAAGGTTCCCCACCTCCCGGCAGTCCAAATAGGGGAACTCCTGGGCAGCTTGCCTCTTGGGCTTGGTATGAGCTTCAGCAGGGTGGGGACCATGGCACTCACTGGAATTAGGTCTTCCCAGCACCAGAGGGGCTGAGTGGACTCAGGCTACCCACTTCCCCTCTCTGTACTTGTTTCCTTTCCTGTAAAATGATATGATTTCCTAGGACCTCTTGTCTTGTGGCTTTTTTTTTCTTTTTTTAAAAAATACAGATGGGGTCTCACTATGTTGCCCAGGCTGGTTTCAAATTCTTGGCTTCAAGTGATCCTCCTCCCTTAGCCTCCCAAAGCGCTGAGATTACAGGTGTGAATCACTGGGTCCAGCCTATAATGGGTTCTTATTTTTAAATAAATTAGTAAATATTTTTAAATTTTCTCAGCTTTAATTTCTTTTCTTTCTTTCTCCCTCCTTCCTTCCTTCTTTCTTTCTTTCTTTTTTTTTTTTTTTTTTTTTTTTTCTGAGACAGGGTCTTGCTATGTTACCCAGGCTGGGCTCGAACAATCTTCCTACCTTGGCCTCTCAAAGTTCTGGGATTACAGGCGTAAGCTGCCACACCCAGCCTGTGACTTTTTTTTTTTTTTTTTTTTTTTGAGAACGACTGGAGCAAAGGGGCAGGGAGCTTAGTTCTAGGGAGGGAGGTGGTGGGAGAGAGATGGAAGTGCCAGGTGCATCACTACATCCTTGCACATAAACAGAGCCCAGAGAGGCCACAACACTGGCCCAACGTCACACAGCTGGGAAGGGTGTGGAAAGGGACAGGGCAGCATTGGCACTGAAACCCAGGCATGTGATTCCAGCATTAGGCTGGTCAGTGCCAGCATGCCAATAACGGCCTCGATAGGTAGGTGGTCAGGAGGCCCTGCCATCGTCTCCAGCCAGAACCCACCAGATGCCCTGCTGCTGCAGCCCGCCCCATCTGCCCCGCCCTCGGAGTGTGCCTTGCCCCACACCCACCTGCTTGATGCACTGCAGTCGGTCATTGGTCTGCTGGATGTGCCTGTCCATAGAATTCATTCTGGCCGTTTCACTAGGTTCTACCCGAGAGCCATGAACGTTGTCCAGCCTGCGAAGAGAAAGGAGAGGTTGTCACTGGATCACGCCAGGCCTGCCAACCTTGAGCAGCCTCCCAACTGCCCTCTGGCCACAACACTGGCAGGTTCCAGAGTCCTTTGCTGGGCCCTGTGGGGCTGCACCTGGGGTACCCCACTGGGCTGAGGGCAGGAAATGCTTCTGGGTGCTTTCCATGTGTGGCACATGTGAGCACTGGGCAGGCATGCCCACCAGGGGATAAGGAACTGCACATGCAGGTGCACACATTTCTTCTCTTTTCTTTTTTTTGAGATGGAGTTTTGCTCTTGTCACCTAGGCTGGAGTGCAATGGCGCGATCTCGGCTCATTGCAACCTCTGCCTCCCAGGTTCAAGCGATTCTCCTGCCTCAGCCTCCTGAGTAGCTGGGAATACAGGTGTCTACCACCACACCCGGCTAATTTTTGTATTTTTAGTGGAGACGGAGTTTCACCATGTTGGCCAGGCTGGTCTCGAACTCCTGACCTCAGGTGATCCGCCCACCTCAGGCTCCCAAAGTGCTGGGATTACAGGTGTGAGCCACCACGCCCAGCCAGGTGCACACATTTCTGTATGCGCATGTGTGTTTTGGGTGGTGGAGGGGGTGGCAATTCCCCTTGGATTCCTGGTTCAGGGCTTGGCCCACGTGTGTGTGTGTACGTGTGTATGTGTGTGTGTGTTCATACATGTGCATGCAGGGGGACCTTCCCATATGACGACCCTCAGTGCACATGCACATGCACATGTGCTCTGAGTGGAGATCTCAGGTGGCATCTGCCCTCCCCCAGTCCCTCAGGCTTTGAGTTGTTCATAATTTACAAACCACTCACAACTCTGTTGTTTTCACTTTGCCCTCCTGGAAAAGGAGGATAAGAATGAGCACCACACCCATTTTCTAGATAAAGAAACTGAGGCTGAGAGACAGAAAGGGAAAAGCCAGGGTGGCACATCAAGTGGTGTCTGAGCCCACACCAGGAGCCAGGGTTCCTGACTGCCAGCCCGCGGTTTCCACTGTGCAAGGCTGACAGTGCGGGTGCAGGGATGGCTTGGCACTAGGCTCACCCTTCCTGAAGTGCAGGAGAAGGGAGTGCTCAGGGCCATTAGCATGAATGGGACTTCCCTCTGGATGACAGAGCTAAGTGGAGGAAGCTCCTTCGGCTCGAAAAAGCCCTGGGAGTCCCCAGGCCGCTCCAGGGAGGCCACACAGCAAAGGCGGGGATCTAGGTAGAGAGAGGAAGGACTGTACAGCCCTAGTCCACCCACTGTTAGGGGTCCAGGTCCTTGGGCCAAGGCAGAAGACTGCCCGCTGCCAGTTCGATTTGCCCTCCTGCCCCCAGTGGACAGTTCAGGCTGCAGACACTTGGATCACACCCAGGGTGCTGGACAGGAGACCTGGGGCCCTAAGCCTTCCCTGCTACTCTGTCGCACTCCCCACTAAAGACCCCTCATCTCTGGCCATGTCAGCCAGGACTTTTCACGTGCTGGACACCTGCATTCTCTCCTTTCCTTTTCACACACACTCTCTAAGGCCAGGATCATCTCCATTTTAGAGATGAGGAAACTGAGGCCCCAGATGTGCCAAGTCCTCGCAGCTGGTGGAAGTGTAGGTTGTGTCTGCCTGCCTGTCTGCCTGTCTGCCTTCTACACACGCTTGTTGAGGGACCCAACACCATTGCCTGGCCCCAGCCTTTGGAAGAAAGTCCTGTTCCTCCTCCAATTGCTTTAAAGGATGTGTAGCTCTTGGTGCAATTCTCATTGCTCCATGTGTGTCTGAACAGGTAATTCATTTGCATGGTTCAAAAATCAGAAAGTCCACAAAGATATCGAGTCCTGGGTCCAGACCCCGTCCCCAGTCCCCTGGTGCCCTTTCTAGGAGAACCAGTGCCATCAGTCCCCCTTCTGGAGAGTCTCATCTAGAAGCAAATATCTACACACACTATTTCTTGCCACATTTTTAAAAACATAAAATAATAACATTCTATACACATTATTTGGATGTTGCTTTCTTTTCCCCCCTCTTGATGATACATCTCAAAGTTTATTCCACATCAAGACACAAAGAACTTTTTTTTTTTGAGATGGAGTTTCACTTTGTCGCCCAGGCTGGAGTGCAGTGGCGCAATCTTGGCTCACTGTAACCTCTGCCTCCCAGGTTCAAGCGATTCTCCAGCCTCAGCATCCCAAGTAGCTGGGGCCACAGGTGCTGCCACTATGCCTGGCTAATTTTTTGTATTTTTAGCAGAGACGGGGTTTCACTGTGTTAGCCAGGATGGTCTCAATCTCCTGATCTCGTGATTCCCCTGCCTCGGCCTCCCAAAGTGCTGAGATTACAGGTGTGAGCCACCACGCCTGGCCACCTTTTCATTTTTTAATGGCCGCACAGTATTCCTAGGTATGATGAAGCATTATCCAACTAACATCTGCCCATCGCCCCCTGCCAGGTGCTGTTCTAAGGCTTGAGCCCTCAGACAAGGCCCCTCTGCTCTGGGGGCTCACACTCCAGCCTGAAACGAGGGACCCTGAAGCTTTTTCCAATTTTTTTTTTTTTGAGACTGAGTCTCGCTCTGTTGCCCAGGCGGAGTGCAATGGCGTGATCTTGGCTCACTGCAGCCTCCGCCTCCCAGGTTCAAGTGATTCTCCTGCCTTAGCTTCCCAAGTAGCTGGGATTACAGGCGCCTGCCACCACGCCTGGCTAATTTTTATATTTTTAATAGAGATGGGGTTTCACCATACTGGCCAGGCTGGTCTCGAACTCCCGACCTCAGGCAATCTGCCCACCTCGGCCCCCCAAAGTGCTGGGATTACAGGCGTGAGCGACTGCGCCCGGCTCCAAATTTTTATCATTGCAGTGCTGCAGGAATAACCGTTCACATCGGCACATCACACGTGTGTGAATTAGTCTAGAGAACATAGGCTCAGAAGTGGAGTTGCTGGGTCATCTGGGAATTTGTATTTTTGATAAGTGCTTTCTGGAGCTCTACAGCAAGAAGGGGAAAGTGGGGGTTGTACCCATATTTATTTCTTCCACCCTCACCCTGCCAACCATCCCTCCATTCATCCCACCCACCACCTATCACACATGTCACACCCTGAAGCCCAATTTCTCCACCCATCATTTATCTATCGAAATACCTGCCTGGGGAAGGAGGAGGGGGGTGAGGGAGCATCCAAAAAGAAAATTTAAAAATAAATAAGTAACAATAATAAAAACAAATGCCCGCCTGTTCACCTGTCTACTCATCCACTCAAACATCTTTAGTCTCCACTTGCTCATCTGTACATGCTTCTTCTCTCCAAGAAATGCTTTTTTGTTTGTTTGTTTGTTTTTGAGACAGAGTCTGTCGCCCAGGCTGGAGTGCAGTGGCGTGATCTCCACTCACTGCAAGCTCTGCCTCCCGGGTTCACGCCATTCTCCTGCCTCAGCCTCCCGAGTAGCTGGGACTACAGGCGCCCACCACCACGTCCGGCTAGTTTTTTGTATTTTTAGTAGAGATGGGGTTTCACCATGTTAGCCAGGATGGTCTCGATCTCTTGATCTCGTGATCCACCCATCTCAGCCTCCAAAAGTGCTGGGATTACAGGCGTGAGCCACCACACCTGGCCAAAATGCTTTTTAATAACGACACTGTGCGGGGTCCTAGGCCAGATGGGTTGGGCGTGCGGAGATTAAAATGAAATCATTTTCTTGTGTTCAAGGAACTCTTGGTCCAAGCCCACATTTACCTACTAGATGACCATGTGCTGAGCTCCTCCTATGAGTCAGGTACTGGTCCAGGCACAGCACAGATAAGAAAATGTAGTTACATCCCCATTTTACAGATGAAGAAACTAAGGCTTGGAGGTTACAGCTTGTTGGATAGGAGCCAGCTCTAGAATCCTGGCTTTCCCTTTACAGTTTTTACTCTTGAACAGGTCCTGGGGAGGGGACAGGGTACAGGTGTGTGTGTGTGTGTGTGTGTGTGTGTGTGTATGTGTGTGTGTGTGTATGGTCTGGGTTGGCAGGGGCGTAATCAGGGCAGCTCCGCTTGCTACTTCTGTAGGTCACCCAAGCGGGAGCTGTATTTGTCCTCCTGAGTTTACCCACACAGACCCTCAGCCAGCATCCACATGACAAAGGCTCCTGGGGTCAGGGACAAACCATGGTGTGGAAGACAAGGACACAGAGAGCCCAGAGCAGGAGCAAGACAGTGCCACCTTCAGCAAGGCCATCTCAGTTCCTGGTGCCAGGCCCCATCAGAGCCAAAGGACCCTGGTGGTCTCCCAGGCACCATGTGATACCCATGCGGCAGTGAAGGCCTGGGTCCCACGTGGGGGCATGGGTGAACACTGGTAGCCAGGGTTCCAATAGAGAATTCAACTTTCACAGCCAGCCAGGACAGGGAGACCCATCCCACAAAGGCCTGGGTTGGCTCAGCTCCTAGCTGGAGGAGACAGAAGAGAAGTACAAAGAAACCTCATGCCCGGCAGGCCTTCATCCTGCTGTCGGCAGGCCACTGCCCACCAGGACAAAGGGCCACCGGTGGCCCAGGCAGCCAGCAGGGGGCGCTGTTGACAAACCTAAGTGACCTGGGGGCCAGACCTGCACACTGTGGAGGTTCCAGGTGTGCTTCCAGGCCCTCCGTCCTCTCCCTCACTCCAGTGAGCACCCAGGTGTCCCCAGCCAGGATGGACTTCGAGTGGGCTTCTCTGGTTTCCTGGCCTTGGTTTCCCCATCTGCAGAACAGGATGCTGCAGAGGGGCAAGTCAGTGACCCATAAGGGTCTACCTCTCAAGAGGAACTTTCTCCTGACATTGTGTCCGGGGGCAGAGCCCGGTGGGCCTTGATAAATGCTTGTTGCCTGGAAGCCCCAAGCAGGCACAGGAGCTTAGATCCACCCAGCTGGCGACCACAGGGCTCAGAGGCAGTTCTTTTCTGTTTAGTCATAGCGGGGGCCCAGGTCCTGCTTTAAGAAGTTAACAGCAAACTGGGAGATGGGACTGTCCACCTTCGGGCTGGCCCCACGTGGGGTCACGGGCAGTCTTGTCTGGAGGCCGGCGGCTGGACTGAACTGGCTTCTGGACAGAAAGATTCCTGGAATATTAAGGGCCGAAGGTGCTTTCAGGTCCCCTATCTACCCGCTCTGCCTCAACTGGTTTTACTCTGAGGAGCCTGGGGCCCATCAGTGTTTTGTTCAAGGCCAAGGGGCACTGGGCTGGGTCCAGGTCCCAGGGGGGCTTTGCTCCCAGGCAGGGCTGCAGCTCACAGGAACCGAGGGGTGAGTGTCTGGGCTTGCAACACCTGTGAGACCCAAGGGTGGGTAGATGGATGGCAGGAGGGACATCGCAGACCACAGGGACAGCGCTGTGTCCTGTGTTTCTTAATAAAAGAACAAATGGCTAGCGGATTATGGAGGCACCTACAGGTGAGGTGACATTTTTAAACTGTTGAGGTCAATGATGGAGAACTGCGGTTACTAACCCCAGGAATGGAGGAGATGGAGGCTCCAGTCTCTGGAGTAAAAGGGTCAAAGGCCTAGAGAGCAAAGGGTCTCAGGCATAAAGAGAGGAAGGGTGCGCTGAGGGAGGCATGCAAGAGACAGCTTGTTGAGGGGCAGGCTGGGATCTTCCATTTGTTCTACACCTGCTATGTTCAGGCACCAGGCCAGGCCCTATGCAGTGCTAATTTTCTTCATCCTTAAAAGGCTCAGAGAGGTGAAGCAAATTGCCCAAGGTGACACAGCCGGAAAGCTGCTGGGCTGAGATTCAAACCCTCTACCTTTCCAGCTGTTAATGTGCTGTTCTTTGCACTCCCCATGACTGGCAGTCAGAGCTTCCTGGTAGTCCCCACCTCCGGCTGTGACTGGGCCCCAGGAGATGACCTTCTTGTTCCACCCAACCTGCCCAAATCCAGTCACTTACATCACTGGGCTCCCTGCACACCGGCCACCTTTGGGAGGTGACACGCACCTGGTGGCCAGCAGAGGTCGCCCTTCGCCACAAGAGCGCCACTCAGCTGGGCCGCTGCCTCCGCCTCCGGGCTCCTGGACTCCTTTAAGCCTTTACAAGTCGCTACAAATCCTCCGTGGCTGCAGCTCTATAGCCGGAGAGGCCGGGCTCCCGCCCAACAGATCACTGTCGGCCTGGCCCCAGGTGCACCCGTGGCCTCAGCCCTTCCTACTGCCCCTGAATGGGGGGTGAGACCAAGCAGGCTACCCCCATCCCGGCTCAGGACCCCCGCCATGTCTCCTGGTCAGAGCAGCCAGGAGCCATGCAAAGCTAATCAGCATGGGGGATCAGGACCCTGCTTTGCTGAGTGAATAGGGCAGAGAGCTGGACCTCCATTTCGCTGTCTGCAAAGCACAGGATCGGGCTGGCCAGCCTTTGGCAGCCTGTCAAATACCAGCCTCTTAGGATTCCCTGTGAGGAGCTCCGGCTGTTCAGAAAACACCATCCCCACAAGAGGAGAATGCCTGCTTTTGAAGCTGCAAAGCCTGTCCCAAGGCAGGTCCATGGGGAGGCTGAAGGCCCGGCAGCCCCGGGAGCTGTTCTTCCAGGGCAGCCCAAGGCCAAGACGCTGCCCCTTTCACAGCTCTGTGCTTCTTCTTGCACCTTACGCTTGGCTGGGCTTAGTTGGGCAAATGGAAGTTTTTGGATGGTAACATGGGGTCAGCTCGGTCTTCCCAACTCCCGTGGGACGTCTTTCGGGACCAAGCTTCCATTTACACTTCTCACCACCCAGCAGAGCGAGGGTGTCTATGCTTAGCGGCGCCTGGTGCAGAAGACTAGTTCAAGAAAAGTTAGCGGCTATTATGTATAGAGGGCTGCTTGGAGGATAGAACGTTGAGAGCTGAAAAGGCCTGGGAACACCTGCCTCATGCCCTCATGCAGCAGGGTGGGAAGCGGAGGTGGGGAGAGGAAGAGGACACGGAGGGCATCGTGAGCAGAGCTGGGCTGGAGCCCCTCTGACAGGTCCAAATAGAGCCCTGGATATCTCTGGGCTGCCAAGTCAGCAAGGAGAGAAGCATCTCAACGGTCTCAACGGCTGGGGGAGGCAAACAGCCCTCAGGGGGCTCCTCACTGGACACAGGGATGAGGTGCTTCTAGCTGCCCCACAGAAATGTGGAGCTCCACAGGCAGCTAGCTCCCAAGGGTGGCAGCCAACCGAACAGTCAGCTGTCCCAACACAAGTGTTTTATTTCCCACCTTTGAGGCCTCACTAGTTCATCAGTCCACATAATGCACACGCACCCAGAGAGAGGCGTCTGCACAGCACACGTGTGCATAGGCACATACACATGTGACCCCTTGCATACTTCACAGCAGGTATGTGCACATGCTGGATGCCAACACAGATGCACTTGAGCACACACATCTCATGACAGCTTGCACAGGCAAGTGGGGGTCCCCGGGGAGCTGTGTGAGCAGTGGTGTGCAGAAATGATTCAATCACCATGCACATCTGCAGCTTAGGTCCCCTGGGGCAAGCGGTGCCAGTGGCAGGAGTGGGCAGCTCTGCCTACAGCCCGCGAGCAGAGGCTGCGTTCCAAGACACAGCCAGAAGGGAAAGCCTAGGGGTCCAGAGGACATCCCAGACAGCCCCTTCATCAGCCTTAGACTCCCAAAGGGACAAACTTCATGAGCCCTGGGCTCAGCAATGACCTGCCAACCTGCACATGTCAGCATCAGTTGGGATCCTTTTCGGCCTGGCCCCTAGCCCTCACTACTCTCAGTCACATCCCTTGTCCCCAACGTGGGGCTGCTCCCTGCCTCCCGGACTGTGCTCTGAAGATCGCACCTCCATGTCTTTGCCTCTGACTGTCCCTCTGCCCGCAATGCCTGGACACCTCCCATCCATCAGGGTATGGCTCAACTGTCACTCTTTCGTGCTCTTTCTTGGTTTCCATCCCTATCCCCTCCATGTCGCTGTCACACACCCCCATCGTAGCAGCACTAGATGAGGGCTGACTCCTTGCAACTGTCTCTCCATCAGCTGGAATGTCTTCCAGTTACAGATCCCTTAGTCTAGCCCAGGGCTCCGTACTCAGCAGGTACTCATTAGATGGGTGAACAGGCAGGTGGACGCACGCCCATTGCTGGGTGTACATGAGAACCAGGGTGGTGAGAGCTGAAAAACCCATCACCCAGCCATAATCAGAAGATCCTAGGACTCAGAGAGACACTGGTTACCCCGTTGAGGGTTCCCAAAGAGAGATACATGTACTTCTGGTGGGATAACGATGACTTTAGAAGGTCCATGGACAAACCTTTTACATTCTCATAGTGAAGTTTTTGGACTGATGAGTTCATGAATGTTATTATTTAGCATGCAGTTAAATTAGGTAGCAATAGCAGACCTAAGTGAATTAAAGAATTGTTTTAAACATAGTATGAACGGAATGAAAGTGACCAAGGTTAGGCAAGCACTGATGTAGACTGATGACTTCCTCACCTTAAAGGTAATGAGTAGAAGCTCAGAGAGGTGTGGAAGCTGCCTGTGGTCACGTCGCAGGTGGCTCGCGCATTCCCAAACCTCGGTAGCCTGCACCAGGCACACGGGCTGGATGCAGAGGAAGAGGGTGGTGGTGAAGCAAGGACAGTAGGAGAGTGACTTTGTGCCCTACCTCAGGGAAGTCAGAAAGAAGGGCAGAGAGACAGGAGACGAGATGGGGAGAGGGATGGAAGAGGCAGCTCCGGGCAGCTGCACAGGGCCAGCTGCTTCCAGCTCTTAGCAGGACAACTGGAGCAGGCCCTCGGGCCAGCGTGAGTCATTGCACAGGGTGGGGCCCCTGGGTAGGCAGTGGTCCTGAGAGCCAGACCTCCTGGCTATGAGGTTGTGGGAGGGTATTTCACCTTCCTGAGCCTGCATCCTCATCTGTCAAGCAGGAAAGTCCATCTCCTCCCTGCCCCACTGTGTTGAGGAGCTGAGCAAATGAATACTTAGGGGACAGTGTTTTAAAAAGTGAAATTCTGCATTCGGACCACAACTCTTCAGAATTCAGTCCCTCCTTCCTCAACCAGGGCAGTGCTCCTGTGCCAAGACTTGACACGGCTCCACACTGCCCCACCAGAGTTCAGATGCTTTGGCTTGGCACTCAAAGCTTCCGGAAGGGTGGACCCACTTCTCTTCATGATCCAATCTCCCAACACCCATCCTTGTTCACGGGAACACCCATTGTCAATGCTGGCTAGTGGGATAACATAATGTAACCTTGGCATTTCAGAGTGGGGGCTTCATGACAGTCAGCCCCACACAGCTATGCCTAGCAACCTGCCCTGGGACACAGAAGTTAATTCAGAAGTGACAGTTTCCTGGGGAAACACTCAGTGATGTGGCCCTGACAAAGGGGCCAGCCCACTGACCCAACCCACACAGGGCTGGGATCCTAGCTGCATTTGGTGTGCCTTGTCTTTCTGGGCACATGGCACTTTAGAGGAGGCCATGCCCTTGAGGCCAAACCCCCCTGCCATCCTCTGGCCATACTCCAAATCCCTGACCTCACAGTGAACTTTCTCTGACAGCTTCTCTTCCCCAGAGGCAAAGGAGGGTTGGATTCAGCTCTGGAGAAGGCCCCTTGGGCTTTCTCTCATTCCCAAGGAGGCCACACCCCTACACTTTGTTTCCTCAGAGTGGAAAGAGGTACTGAACAACTATCAAACCTATATGTGCTAAACACTAGGTTCTCTATGTCACATCAGTTAAGCCTCAAAACTCTATATGCTGGTCCAATTATTATTACAGTACTACAGGTGAAGAAACAGAGGCTACTACAGATGAAGAAACTGAGCCTCTGAGAGGTGCAATGATTTGCTTAGGGTCACACTACTGACAACTGCCAGGATTTGAATCTAGGTCTGATTACAAAGCCCATGTTTTTCTGTATCATGTTTTCCATGGGAATATGGCAGACCTCCCTCAACTAGACACTGCCTTCCCCAGCCCCAACTTCCCTGAGTGAGAGGAAGGTGACTAGCACTGCTGTGGAGTGCTGAGGATGGTGAAGATAGGGAGTCACAGGCCCGTCCAGTGCTGGGCCCAGGCCACAAGCCTCTCCCAGGATAGCAGTGCTCATGCAGTGTCCCTGTCCTGGCTCTGCCTCAAGGCTCTTGTCTGTGACTCCAAAGGCTCAGATGCCATGAAGTGGGGAAGAGAGGGGTGAGAACAGTTACCCGAGGGCCCTTGGAGGATATAGGGAAGGATGTGACTGTAGACAGAGGCAGGACCCCCCCCGACCACCAGCTGGTGCCCTCTAGAAGGCTGTAAATACCTAGCAGATGTTCCTACACCCTGGCTCCAGGAATGGAGGTATTCTCCATTGTCCCCTCCCTACCCCCAGCTCCCCAAGGCTCCAAATCCCACCTGGCATTCTGCAGGAGCTCCAAATAGGGGCAGGATTAATGGCATCCCCCAGGAAGAGTTAGACAGAACTAGATCAGCCCTTAAGGACCAGCTGGCATAGGGATGGTAATGCTCTGGTATGCAAGAGGTGGAGGTGGCATCCATACAACCCTCCACCTCCCACACCCATAGCAGGCATGGCTAATCAATCACTGCACTCTCCCAGCCAATCCTCCACATACACTTCTGCACAGCCATTGTTAACCACCTGGTACCAACACATGAGATGAAGTCTTCTAGGTGGTCTATTTTTGAAAAGGCAGTGAACAGAGGCCAGAGAGGGGAGGGCTTAGCTTGAGGCCACCAAGCAGATCCACATGCAAACTTCCCGTTTCCTGACTTTGTGCTCTTTACCCTAAACTGAGAGTCACAGCCAGGTTCTTTTCAAGCTAAGAGCCTCTATGGATGGGTGGGCCTATTTCAAGCAACCTTATATCACAGTCTCACAGTAGCCTGCAAACAAGTATTATTTCAGTTTGTGGATGAGAAAGTTGAGGCTCTGAGTGGGTAGGTGATTTCTACCTAGCCACACAGGGGGTGTGAATGACCCAGGGCAGTGGCTGCTCCTCCTGAGCCCATGAGTGTACTCCTTTAGTTAGCTGCTCTTCACTGTTAGTATATATATATTTTTTAATTTCTAAAAAACCAAAAAATTGGGGAAACAGAGGAATCAGAAGGCAGACATTTACTTGAGCTAAAAGTGGTAGATGGAAAAACAATGAAAAGTCCTCATGGCTTAGATCTGGAAGTGATCTGGGATCTGCGCAGGCCTATCCTAACATTTACAGATGAGGAAACGGAGGCCTGAGGCAGGGAGCGTAGAGCAGAGCCTTGAAGGCCCCACTGTGGATCCGAGGCAGGGTCAGGGCCCACACCCAGGCCTCAGGAGCCCCAACTGCCCCAACCACATCCAGTCCACCCCTGCTGATGCCTGCCCAGGCCAGGCCTGTGGTCAGCCCACAGACAGCTCAAACGGGCCTGCCCTGGGGAGCTCCAAGCCGCCTTGGGGGTTGGGGTGGGGTAGGACAGGGTGCCCATGCCAAGTGTGATGGGAACAGGGGCTTGGCTCTTACTAGGAAGCAGCTATGCTTCTCCCTGCAGAGGCCCTGGGCAGCCCCCACAGCTCCCTATGGAGATTTCTAGCATCCCTAGATCCGGGGGTGGGAGCTGGGCTGAGGCTGGCACAGTGATTCATCAAGCTCTACTCTCCAGAAAGCCCATGGCATGGGAGGGGCGTGCGTCAGCTGGGTCTAGCCCGATCTTCATTTAGTGGAGTCTCTGGGTGTGAGGCTACTCAGGGGACTGAGCCACCTCGGCCCAAGAGCAGAGGGCCCTCATTCCTGAAACCCTCCAAGCACACGCTGGACACCCCACAGGCAATCCGAAAACACGCTTCCTGGCTGCCTGCTGAAAACCAACAGAGACAAAAATCACGCTAGGTGCTCCAAAGCTGCCTGGTGACTTGAAAGTCTAATGTGCACAGCACTCTACAGTTTACAAAGCACTTTGGTGTTATAACCTCACGAGTTGACCCATGTTTCACCCCATCTTAGATGGGCAGTATAGCTTAGTGGTTAAGGGCACCAGGCTGCCTGGGCTTGCATCCTGGCTCTGACACTTGCTGGCTTCTGTGCCCTGGGGCACAATGCTAGCCTCAGTATGCCTCAGGTCCCTCATCTATAAATAATAACAACAGTAACCATAATTGTACAACTTCATAGGCTGCTGTGCTGATTCACTGGGTTAGTGACTAGGAAACTTAGCCTCGCCCTGAGCAGGTGAACATTCACTCTCTAGAGTGCCCTGGTGGGTCTTATCGGCTCCATCAGAGGCAGAAGGAAGCTGGAGCCAGAGACTTGGGTGCCTGCGTGACAGAGTTAAACACCACCACTCTACAGGCCCTCTGGGAACCATACCATGAGCTCAACAGGGCGCCTCAGAAGTCCTGGGTGGTTGCAGCTGAGAGGGAGGCAGGGGTCCCATGCCATTGGCCAGAATGCCAGGTTGAGGAGCTGGAGGGACTCTGTTTTAGTGGCAAAGGACAGTCACAAATGTTCCAGAGGGAAGGATGGATTAGGGAAGGAGCTTTCGGACAAGTGAGCTCCTCCAGCAGTGGCCTCGATGCCCAGATGAAGTCTGCCTGGGCACCATCTCTAATAAAGACAGGAGATCAGAGAAAAGCCACACTGTGCTCTGGTGACTGGGACACCCCAGATGGCTCTGCCCAGATCTGTTTCTTGGAAACCAGGTCCCAGGAGGTGCTCCTGAGCGAAGCATTCCCGGTTAGATGAGTTGGGGAAAGCTGCATCTTCTGTCCTCCTCTGGGAGATCATGAAAGCACGCTTGCATGGGAAGGGCCTTACAAAATCTGGCTTTTCTCAGTGTTACTGGATGGCAAAAATGCTTTTTTCACTAAACACATTTTAAAATCCCACAGAACTAGTTTTCCCCAGGACTTGCTTTGAGAAATGCCGACCTAAAGGGAGTGGCCCAAGGGTGGAGAGGCTGGAGGAGAGACACAGAAGAGGCAAGGAGGGCCAGCTGGCTGGGTAAAAGACTGGGGGAGGGGATACTAGGGGGGTGGGGGACAGGAGGAAGATTCCTAGCTCCAAGCTGGGCTCTGGCCACAAAGGCGTGACCAGAAACAAAGACGTCTGTGCGAAGAGAAGCCACAGAAAGATCGGAATCCTGGATTCTGAATCCAGTATCATGTCCAGCTTCATGAAAGCCATGGCCACCTTGGATATACCCAACCAGCCACGAGCCTGCCTGAAGGCGCCCTGGGCTCCCTCCCCCAGCAAGACTGGCTCGGGGGCGGGAAGAGCGGCCCAGAACACTTCCTGGAAGGGCAAAGGCCAGAGTAGGAAGGTCACATGAGCTGCCTGAGGCGGAGATGACCCTCCCCTGTCCCATCCAAGCAATGACTGCAGCCAGAGGCACAGAAGCCAGGGTGTGTGCAGGCCCAGGTGGCCCAGGCAGCAGGCAGGATTCTCTACCTGAGGCCCTAGAGGTGGGTGGCCCTCCTGCAGTCACACTGACATCTCCATTCATAATTCTGAATAGTAACAAGAACAATAGGCGTGTCCTTCATTATGTACTACGTCAGGCAGCATATTTGGTATTTTATGTGAATTATCTTTATAACAATATAGCCGAAGGTAGAATGAATGAGTGGCACCATCTACAGATGGGAAAACTAAGGCTGAAAATAACTAAGGAACTTGCCCAAGATCAGAAGATGGCAAAGCTGAGATCCAAACCCAGATCTATCAGACTTCAAAGCCCAGTAACTATACACAAAACCAAGCTATCTCCACACTATTCTGGGGCTGGGGAACAGGGAAGCTGAGTGGCAGACTGCGCGGGTTCCGGCTGCCCAGAGGGAGGCCCTTGGGTTCATTCATTCTCCAGGCGCTGCCCTGGGTCAGCTCTGCACCGCCTGTGCTCAGCCTGGGAGGGACACAGGACACAAGGTGTGTCCTCAGGAGGATCCTGGCCTGGGGGTCCCAAGCATGCCAGCATGCATACTGCACTGTGGACACATGGCTCACCTCTCTGTGCCCATTTCCTCAGCCCCAGAAGGAAGGGGCTGATCAAGATGTCACTCATTTCTCCCTGTACCCCAAACCTCTGAGGATGGCTGGGGTGCTGAGCTTTCCGGGAGCCCACTCGCTGCACCAGGCCCCTTTGCATACATCATCCCATCGAATTCTCACTCCAGCCCAGCAAAGTGGGCACCACAGCTCAGACTTCACAGAAGAGGAACCTGAGGCCCAGAGAGGTTACACAACTCGCCCAAGGTCACACAGCTGGGCAGTGAGGTTGCTGGGACCGGAACTTGGCTTTAGCTCATTTCAAAGGTTCCAGCCTAATCACGCAGCTATACTGGCAGTGTCCGCCGGGCTAGAGCCAGGCATGGGAGAGGGAATTTCTGCTTGGCCCAGGCCATATTGTGGTGTGACTACAGCGCTCAGACCCTGGACTCCATGGCCTTGATGAAGTGGGGACGGGGTGAGATGATTCCTAAGGCATCTTCTAGCTTTAACACTCTTGCAGGAGGCTGGGGAAGAAAGGATTAAACAAAAAGAGTAAGATGACATCACTGATTTCCAGAAGCCTAAAATCCAGGTGAAGGCAGACAAACAGTACCAACCTACCTGCTGGGAGTGCCTACCAGAGGGCTAGACTGCAGAGGCCAGGCTGGGGATCACCCCACAGGCTTCCTGGAGGAGGAGAGGTGGAGCCAGGTGCCAAGGGCCAAGGGGGCATGGCCTCCAGCAGGGGCAGTGTGGCTGGGCAGATGGTTAAGAGAGTGGGCAGGGAAAGCCCGTCTTATTTTGGAAATAAAACCACATGCTCAGTGCCCCTTTGACCAGTCAGCCTGGCGGGTGGCACGGGGTCCTTCTTAAGGGAGAAGGTATTGAAATGAAGCAGGACTCTCACCATTCATCTGCTTTTTAATTAACTCACTCTGCTGCCTTAAGTGATTCCCTGCTCACGCTCATTCTTTTGAAAATTCCAAAGTGCTACTTCTGACCTGTGATTTACTATTGCTGTACGTCTCTATAAGCAGTGTTTTAGCTTAAGTGGCAGTTGCATATTAATTACAAAGTTAATTATGTGCTGTGTAATCATGCTGTAATTCATTAGTTTATACTCTGAGAGCCTCATGCTAATAGCAAGATCTGACAGGATTTCGGGAATCAACAAGAAAGACCCGCTGGAAATCCCAAATGGGGCTAAAAAACACTGGAGGCCCCACCAAGCCCCTTCCTGCCCAGGGCTTCTAGCAGGCACACAGCCTGGGACACGCCAGTCTGTGGGGGCCGGTGAAAAACCCCGGTGGGTCATGTTTTTCTCCTGTGGAAGTGCAAGGACAGGAAGAGAATTTGTTTAAAATTACTTACGGAACAGAGAGTCACTTCGAGGTAAAAAATTAACTGCTTAGATCACCCAAAGTGACCCTGAGAGCACAGACCATGGGACAGACCAGGGGAGGGCTTGGACAGGATCCAGGGCCAGGCAGTTGTTCAGATGGGAAGACCCAGGCCCAAAGGGCGTGGGTGGTGGGTGTGTGTCTGGTATTTGGACCCAAGTCTCTTCACACCCTTTCCCTCCTCTACAGTGCCCTCAAAAACATCCAGGGACCTGAAAGTGAACACTGGCCACATTTCTCTCTTCCTTCTTTCCTGTTTGGTTTTGTCTCCTAACAGTAACTCTTGGGGTCATCGGGCCTGGCTGGGACTCCTCGCTACTCCTTAGACAGCCTCGAAACCTCCTGAACCAGGTGAGAGTTCCAGCCTCCCTGTACAGGGAGCAGATGATGGACAGGAATGGACACAGACACTCCAGATGCTGCCCAAACCTTGACTGCTCCAGGGTTATTCCAGGGGGATTCTTTTCTAAAACCATCTCTTCCAAGGTCCAGTGTTGTCAGCAACTGAAGATTCATCCACAATCCTCCAATGGCATTTAAAAGTCAAAGTGAGTAAAGACAGGCCTGCTCCAAAAACCCTCCCTTCACTCTCAACTCTGCAAATCTGTGGATCAAATTTCAAGCCACTGTTGAGGGAGGAGAAGATACAAAGGCTGTGACCTACCCCGGACATAGCGATCTGGTGGCTGAGACCCTCTGCTTTCCAAATATAAACCTGCTTGTTTTATTTCTGCTGACAGCTGAACAAGGAAAAAAAAAAAGATGTAGAAGTCCTTTCCCTTCTGGCTCCAGTCAACAATTGGAGAGAAGGACTTGGAGCCCCAGCTGGCATGGGAGGAGGATAAATAAGAAAAAACAAAACATGTCCTTGTGCTACAGTGGAATGTTTTAAAAAGAGGTGAAAAGCACAAGGTCAGGGGCAGATTGCATTTTCTATCGTTTCAGCAGGCTCAGGGAGAAGGCAGGATGCTGCCGACTCAACAATTTTGGGGCGAATCCGTTTTGGAGGGAACTCATTTCGGGGGGAGGGGGGCGTCTTAACAGCTAAAGTGCTGTGGTTTCCTTTCCTGGGAACACACCGGTTTCCCTGGCAACAGAGAAGTCCAGCCTCCAAAGTTCTGATGGGAGACCAAGGCTTGGCCTGGGATGCTCCCGACAATTATCCACAGCCAAGGCTTCACCGTCCTGCTCGCCTGGGCAGTGAGGTGGGTAGGAGAGGTGCAAAAATGTTGGCTCTGCAAAAATATGGGCTCTGGTCCCCGTCTCTCCTGCCTGCACTTGTGCAAGCAGCTACTCATCCCTAGATTCATCACTTTGCAGGGCTTTATGGCTGAGCAGGTAAAAATCCAGGAACTGCTTGGAAGCAAGCCTTCATCTGACAGCAGCTGAGGACCCTGAGGAGGCAGTAAAGACTCGGGGACGGGCAGCAATGGATCAGCAAAGGCCAGGCTTCATGCAGAGCACACTTTGGCCCTTGTGCGGCTGGCACAGGGGAACTGGATCAGAAGAGCAGGCTGGGATTTCTAAACTCATCTCTCCCTCCATTCACACTCGCTCACACGGCTCCATTGGCATCTCCTAGACATAGAGCCCATCTTCCCAGAGAGAAAGATTGAAAGGTCTGGCCTGGAAAGACACAGTCCATGGATCAGGTGTGGGAAGGCAGAGAGAGGTGAGTGAGGATCAGAGGGAGGAGAGGAGGCAGAGAGGGGGCGGGTGATTGCATTTGCAGGGCACTTATCCGGGCGCCTCTGGGAGCTGTGCTAAGTGCTCCACACACATTATCTCATTTAATTAGTTCTCCAGCTGCCAGGTGGGGCAGGCACAATTATCCCTCAATAGAGGGAATTGAGGGGTTAAGTGACCTGCCCAAGGCCACGCAGTAAGTGCATGGCAGAGCCATGAGTCACACCTGCCAGTCTCCAAGGCCTATTCTCACGCTCACAGCTCACAATGCTGTGTGTGCACATCGGGAGAGGGGTGGAAGGAGAGGCAGGGGCAGGGAGAGCCACTCTGGCCAGCGCTTTCTGTCCCTGATGGTGGAAGGAAGACAGAGGTTCCTGGAATCCTCCCCTCTGCTCACCTCCCCAGAACCTCCCCTTTTCTTCTAAACATTCTGCACACTGTCCTCCCACAGGAAGACAGGCCACGGAGCAGAGCCACCTGGAGGCTCTGAACCAGAGGCCCTGTCCAGTATCCCACCTCAAGGCACCGAGGCAACGCTGGCCGACGTTTCCTGAGGGTCTGATATTGCACCCTTCATCTCCTTTAAACAACCCTATGAAGTAGACAGGAATAGTCCCTTTTATTGAGAAGGCACTGGAGGCTAAGAGAGTGTCATGAGTATGTCCAAGTTCACAGAGCTAATAAGGGGCACAGCTGGGATTCCAGCCCTGGTCTGACCCCAAAACCCAGCCCTTAACTGGTGATGATGATGATGATAGGATAACAGCCGTGCCTTCCTGAACTCACTATGTCCTCTGCCCTGCTTGAAGCACTCTGCAAATATTGATTTGTTTTATTCTTTCAACCATCCCACATAGTACACGATATAATTAGCTCCTTTGCACAGATGGGAAAACTGAGACACAGCATTGAAAGCAACACAGCCAAGGGCATTGCTAGTAACTCACAGTGCCAATGTTTGAACCCAACCAGGCAGACTTCAGAGCTCACGCTCGTAACCCATGTAACACACTCTTTCTCCAACCATGGGGATACCGTCTCCCAGCCTTGCATCCTTCATTCTGGATGGTTCTGGGACCCTGTTAGGGCAGGCAGCAGTTTAGGGGCCCAAGTTTTTCCCTTCATAGAGCTCATCAACCTAGAGAACTGGGGAATATCAAGCAGGACCTGGACTGTGTCTCTGCACACATGGGTGTGTGCGTGTGTGTGTGTGTGTGTGTGTGTGCGCGTGCACGAGCCTCAGGCCTGTGCTGCGTCCCGGGTGTGCATGCAGCTGATTTATAACCCTCCAAGAAAACAGAATTGCAAATCTCACCCACAAATCTTCCTTATCGAGGTACTTGCGACAGGCAGACACGTCGTGAATTCCCAAGAACAGGCAGGCCTCCCCACCAGCCTTGGCTCCCTTGTGCTCCCTGCACCATGGGGCCTGAAAGGGGCCAAGGGTTAGCTCTGACAGGTCCCTCTGGCTGCCAGCAGTCTGGCCAGTCCACTCCTGGGATTGGGTGCCAACCTAGGTTGACTTGGTACTGCTTATCAGAAATGCTGGCTCCTTAGTGACCCAGTCCAGGGAGAGCCTCATCAAGTACAGTTCCAGGACCCTCCTGGCTGACTCACCATACTAACTGCCCTACTCCAGCCCTCACTGCTCAGATGGTGAAGGGCAGGGCCTTGAAACACCTACAGACCCGAGGAGGAGGAAAACAGTGTACATCTAATGGATACGTACCATGCACACACCACGGACAGCACTAAGTGTTCAAGATTTATTTCATTTAATCGCCATGGAGACCCTGGAGACAAGGCCCAGAGAAGTCAAGTGACTGGGCTCGGCCTCGGAAGGCAGGCAGTCTGATTCTAGAGGCTGTGCTCGGAACCACTCCGCTGTGTTTTCTTCAACCCTGGGCCTCTTCAAATCCTCAAGCCTCTTAGGGCTCTCAGGCCCTGTCCCTGGCATACATACGCTTACCCACTTTCCCCCAGAGGGGTTTGGATCCACTGGGGTCACCTTGCTGGTATTTAATCCCATCCCAGTATTCATAGTTGTGGACCCCTGGGAGACATTCCTAGCTCCTGCACACCCAGAACCAATGCTGCTGCACTCTGAGTCCAGCTGACACTCTCCCCCCAAACCCAGCCCATACCTCACCCACAGAGCTCTCTCGAGAAGCAGGCCCTCTCGGGGGTCTGCAGTCACCCAGTCGATACTCCTGGCCCCCACCTTCTCCTGGAGGTGGGCAAGAAGGAGGTGGGTGCATCAGGCAGCAGCTGGAGGCAGCCAGGCAGCCCAGACTTGGCTGTCCTCTAAACTGCTGTGTGACCTAGGCCAGTCCCCTGCCCTTTCTGAGTTTTGTCTTTTTCATCTGAAAAATGAGCTTGGGCGGATTAAATTGCATGAGCAGGACATAGCCCTTGCCCCTCGGGAGAGGTGCGTCCATGCATGCACACACGCATGTGCACATACACACACACAGTTCTGGTAATGTCAGGTGACTGAATTCCCCATCCCAGCCCAAACAGAACCAGGGACCAGCCCATCCTTCCTGTGAGGTGTCTCTTGTCTCTCTCCAGCTTGGCACTGGGTGAGTCCTGGCTCCTCCTCCTCCTCCAGTTCAGACTCCTGCAGCCCCAAACCTGTAATCCCCAGCAGGGAAAATGACAGCCTTGTCCAGCAGCCGCCCTCAGCTGCCGGTGGGGAGCCGGGCGGTGGCTGTGGTGGTGGTGGCTGGGAGGCGGGCCGGGACATGCAGCCGCCAAGTCAGGGGAGGTCAATGACGGGGACAAATGCCATGGGGACTGTGGGTTGTGGGTAGAGGAAGGATGAGAGAGAAGAGCAGGGAGGGATGGGCTCAAGGTCCCAGGGCTGGCCTGAGGCTGGCCTGAGGCAGGATGAGGCCCAGAGGGGGTCACAAAGGGGTGTGACCTGGACAGCCAGGGCCTAGAGGACAGCAAGGTGAGCACTGCCCACGGTTTGGGGTTTGGGGAGCTATAAGCACAATGATGCCTGGGCTTCACCCCGGCTCCCTGGGAGGGCCTAGGAACCTTGAGAAAGTGCCTCTGGGGTCTGGTTGCAGCCGGTGGGCAGGTGGCTGCTCAAGCCCCTGGGATGCCTCCGCCCCAAGGAGGTGCTGGGGTTGCTCCTGCCTCTGCTGTCTCCCCCTCAGAATCCACCGCCACTTGGCAGGAGGACAAGGCTACAAACGGCACCAGTGACACCACAACTGCATCTGCCCAGCCGCTCACCTCCAGCCTCCTCAGAAGCAGGCAGCCCGTTTGTAGGCAGGGCCACAGGACTGTCCCCATTTACTAAGGCTTGGAGAAGAGAATGGTGACCTGAGTCAGCCCCTGAGCCTCCTCCCAGGCCCCTTCCCACTGGGAAGGGCCATCAGGAGGCTGAAACCCGGGTGCTCCCTGCTCCTGCCCAAGCCTGCTCTAGCAGGGAGACTCAGGACGCAGGGCCACACTGACTCTTGGTCCGTCTCAGTGGGAACCCACAGCTCTGCCTCCTGGGAAAGGAACATCCCACACACGGCCACACTGTCCTGACTCCCTCGTGGCCTTGGATGAGTCACTTCCCTTCACTCAGCCTCTGTTTCCCCATCAGAAAAAAGCAGTGGGAGGAGGCTGGATTTGGGGAGGCACAGGCCATGGCGGGAGGGCATTCTAGCTGGAGCAGAAGCTGGGGGTGGGAGAGCAGCTGGAAACGTGTGCAGGTGTGCTGGCCCCGAAGACCGGGCTTGAGCTGGGACTGGAGTCAAAGTTGCAAATGGAGTTGCGGTCAGCACTGGGCTTCTCTGCATGGCCCTGTCTGAAAGGAAAGTCTCTTGTGGGCACTTTATCCCCCCTGAGCAGAGGCCCCTGTGGGCTGCCCCATTGTCTGGGTCACATGGAGAGACTGGCTGAGGCTGCCTGCTCAGAGGAAGGTGGTGGTGTTTGCTTGGGGCCACTCCAGAGGGGCAGCTCAGGCTCCCACGCCTCTGGGGGACTCGGAGGAGGAAGGGGTGCAGCCCACTTCCTTTGGGCCAGACTGTGCAAAGGGGCGGCAGGGCCTACTGGGGGATGTCGCCCTCAGATGCAAGCCCTGGGGTGACAGCCCATGGGACAGAGGAGGCAGGTGGCACTTAGGCCCTGGAAAAAGGAGGGTTCATTTTGGTATCAGGGAAGCTAGCTCTGACAGGGGTCAGGGTCATGGGATGGCCCAGGCTACTGGGCCAGGACCCTCTGTGGTCACCCCCACAGCCAACATCACTCATAGTGTCCTAGTAGACACTGGGGGACCCAGCCTCTTTAAGGAGGGTGATGCTGGGGGACAGGGCCACTAGCATGGCCCTGGTCACGGGTGTGCTTGGGTGTGCACAGCCTGGCACCTCGGGGCATTTCCTCACTTCATGCCTCTCGAGAGGCCCCCTGAGGGCTGTCCCTGATCAGGAGCAGGCCATGCCCCCTCCTGGCTCCCTTCCATCCCCTCTTCCCTTGTTCTCTCCACCTGTCTCCTTCATCTTCATGGTGCTGTGGGGGCCCGTCTCCACCCTCGGCACCCTGCAGGAAGGGGACAGGTGGATAGGAGACAGAACGAGTGGATGAGGGGCAGGTCAGTGGAAGACAGGCCCAGCCTGCCCCGTTGGCCCCAGGATGCTGATCTGACACTGGCCTCTGAGAGAGGGTGGTGGCATGCGTGGCGGTTGTCCCTGTGGCCTGCCTGCCTGGAGTGCCTGCTCACCCACTGCCTGGTCCCCACCTGCCTCGGCCTTGCCAGCCCCTCCTCTGCCCCCTTGTGGGCCTGAGATGGCTGTTGCCATGGCAACCCTGCTCATTCAATCCAGGGATAATGAAGCCAATGTGTTTTTCATTTCCATGAGCTAGAGTGTGGAGCAGGGCAGAGAGAGGGGCTTTCCCCTCTTGGCCCCTCCTTCCCAGGGAAGAAGCAGACTGCAGGGAGACGGTGCGTGGGGCCTGACCAGCAGACTGAAGCACACCAGTGGGAAGAGGCTGAGACCTGCAGCCACTCAGCTCTCTCTCAGCTCACCACAGTGGGCATGTGGCTGGGCAGTGCCAGCTAGATGGCAGGCCTCTTTGCCAACACTCAGCCTGGAAGAGGCGTGGTGCCCCAGAGACTGAGTGCGGGTGCAGAGCCAGGCAAAATGGGGTTCTGTTTCTGGCTGTGTGACCTCATACTAGTTACCTCACCTCTCTTACTCTAGTAGAACTGAGTTCACCAGGCACTAACTAGGTCCCATCTGAGTGGCTGGCCTTCTGCAGTCCCTAGGGATCCAGACAGAACCCAGACAGAGCCCCTGTTCTCTAGGAGTCCACAGGTGAGTGGGAGAAGGAATTCATATCAGGCACCCTTCTCAGCTATAAAACTGAGGCCAGTAACTTTTACCTGTTGCTACCAGTAACATTAACTCTTGGAGTTACCCTTGGAGGGCTGGCACATACAGTAAGTGTTTTATGTGCTAGCATCCCTCTTCTTCTCCATCCTGGGTTCCTGGCCTGCAGCACAGAGATAGCAGATGTTTAAGAAATGTTCATGTGTGAGTCAGCAGTCACAGCTGCCCGACTCCTCTCCTTCCTCCAGGGTCTGGACTGAGATGGGCCCACTCCTCTGGAGGTGGAACCTGGGCCAGAGCAGAGCAGCGCTGAGCCAGGCGGGGGCAGGGCTTCATGCGGCCCTGGCTTGGGAGAGCAGGGCTGTCTGGGAGATCCACGGCCCATGGTTGCCACCACACACCTCCCCCAGCCCCTCTCCAAGGGCAGGAAGCCAAAAGCACTCACGCAGAAAACCCTGGCCTGTCTCCCCCACAATAATTCAATCACCTTGGAGACCAGTGGCCCTCTCTCCGGCTGGGCTGACAGATTAGAGCAGGAGGGAAGGAAGCATGCGGGGGTGGGGGAGGGGTGGGGCAGGGATGCCGCTGTGGAGAACTCAGAGCAGGGCTTGAAAAGTGAAGACATGAACCCACCAGGAGGAGATAGCCTTAATCTGTCTTCCATAAAGCTGTCTCAGGGCCACCAAGGATGTCACCAGGGCAGAAGGGGCTGAAGATGGCTCCTCCTGGGACCTCCTTCACCCCCGCCCAGCTGGGCTCCAGCTCCAACTGGTGAGGGGTCAGGGAGGAGGAGAGCTGGATGGGCTTGCAGGTTAAAAGGGGCAGGAACATAGGAGGGGTGATGGTGGAGAGAATGGCGCCTCTGGTAGGCGTCACTCACCAACACACAGTAGGCACTCTGTTCACGACCAACTGAGTAAGGGACTGCGTGGCCACACCTGCAGGTTGTCAGTAAGCAGTGCCTTGGTAGCAGGCTGAAGGGCGGCCATGAGCACTCGAATGGGGCCCATTTGCCCAGTTCACAGATGGGGAGACAGGACAGGTGGGCCAGAGTCACACAGTTAATCAGAGCCACTGGAAGACTTTCTAGCATGAGGGTCCCGGCCAAGCTGCCCTCACCATGAATTATGCTGCAGGGTGGGGGGCATCTCCCCAGAGTCCCCAGCAGCACCCCATCACACCCAGCCCAAGCCAGCAGCAAGCTGCTTGTGATGAGGATACTGCCCTGGCCCCTCCTAAGACCCCACCATGTGGCCATTAAGGATCATGTCTAATAGGAGCACTGAATGACTCTGAAGCCTCCTCGTGACTTAGTCCAAAAGAGAAGAAAAGAAAATTATAAGGTGACCAGAAAGAAACATACTAGAATGATGACCAGGATGACCTCTGGGTGGGAGGACTACAGGGCAGTTTTATTTTTCTTCCTTCACTTTTCTGACTTCCAGACTTTCTGCAGCAAGCATGCATATACTTTACAATAAGGAAAAAAAGGACATTATTAAAGTTTAAAATAAGTCACTTCCACTAAATGTGTGAGATTCTCCATTTACAGGCCAAAGTCAAGCTCATGTTGGGTTAGGCAGCATCTGTGCTTAGGCACCCAGGGCCACACACAAGAGCCTCCTCAGGGACTGCAGGCCCTGTGAGGACATCCCGGGGCAGGAGGCAGGGTCCGGGTCTGCCTTCCCTTGGTGGTGTGTGTTTCGGCAAGTCCTATGCCTCTCTGTGCTCTGCTGATCTCCCCCGGCCCTTCTCACCTCGCAGGGTGGATACGAGGACTAACGGGTCTGGGTGTGCTTGAACTAAACCTGTAAGCCTTTGTCAACTGGGGGCACAGGGCGGCTTCTCCAGTTAGAGGGGTGCTGTCTGGGGCAGAGGGGCAGCTGAGGTGCCTCCAAAGACAGGGCCGAGGAGCCTGGCCTGAACAGCTCCAGGAGGCGAGGCCAGCTTTCATCCCCTGTTTACAGTGGAAACACAGACTTGAAAAGGCTTCACTTTTCCACTGTTTTTGTGGCGGTGCTGTGGGGAGCAGGGCTTCCTGAGAGCGAGGCCAGCTTTCCAAGGCCACACTGAGTCCAGCCCCAACAGGAAACATCATGTTTTCAATTTACAGGTCCCTGCCAGGCGCTGTGAGCAGGCCCACGCTTCACTGGCCCGGCTGTCTGGGGAGAGCAAGCCCAGGCCCTGCTGCAGCTGGGAACCGAGACAGGCCGGGTGGGGTCCCAGGACCCAGGGGGCCTCTTGTGGGATCCCTGAGGGGCCTCATTCCCAGTGCATGGCACAGTTTACACGGTTTTGTCAGCAGCAGATGCACTGGAGACACATTGCCACAAACTCCAATCCCTGGCCTCCTGGAGCTCACATCAGCCAGTCCTACCTTCTTACTGGGTAGATGGGGAAACTGAGGCCCACAGAGAAAAGAGACTTCCCAATGCCATCAGATTATTAGTGAAGAAAGACTGACCTCAACCCAGACTGGCAAATTCCCAACGGGGTTGATGGGCAAAGGGGGACGATGACAGTGATGGCAGCTCACCTCCACTGCACACCTCTCCCAGTCTAGATCCTGCAACCTCCAAAAGCCTTGCTATCAAGCAGGTCCTTGCCAGCCCCTCCTATCCCCAGGTGCTTCTGGGAAATTCTCGGTAAACTGAGCAATGCTTGCAAGAGGGGTGTTCATTCAGCCAGTGTGCACCGAATGTTATGCCAATGGGCTGTGCCTTGGCACCAGGAGGATGGAGGGCTGACTCCCTACCTCCCTGAGCCTCAGGATTCCAGCAGTATGATTGGGAGGGTGACTGGGTTGGACTGTCAGGAAGACCTCGGAGCTCTAAGATCTATGCCTCTCTCCTCCCCTGCCAGACTGTCAGCTCCATGACGCAGACACCCAGTCTCTTGCTCAGAGGCATCCCAAATACTCAGAAGAGCGCTGGTCCATCATAGGTACTAAGTAAACATCTGCTAAATGACTAAGTGGTGGTGGCTGGAGGGGGCTCCACTCACACGGTGGGTTTGGAGAAGCCTGGGAGCTCTCCCCGCTAGCCATATATTAATGACATTTCGAGAGGCAGTTGAAATGGCCCTGGAATGTCATCCTGGCCCGTTGGGCCTCCGGAACACGTGCGGTCTGTGTGGCTGCCCCATCCCCTCCCTCCATTGTGTCCTCCAGCCCCAGCCCAGGATGCACAGTGCCCTCCCTGTGCCCTGGTTTCTCACTTTCTGGGACTCCCTGAGCTCCAGCATTAGACAAAGGGCACATTTTCAGGGAAAATAATCCCTTGTTTGTTTGTTTTATTCACAAACTCTCCCCTCTCTGCCTTTTCCCATCCAGGACATTCCTGCTTTCAAACAGGAGCCACTCTCCAGGCTGGATGATGGCCAGGCTCACACCGGCTCCCAGGAGTCCTGTGGGCTAAGCCCGGAGGGTTTGCTGCAGCCAGGAATGCCGGGGCTGCCTGCAAGGAGTGGGCTCCACACTGTGGCTGCAGGTTGCCTTCCTGCTGGCTGGCCCATGGGGAGTGGGGAGGAACCTGAGCCCAGCCCAAGGATGGGCAGAGATGAGTGGTGTGAAGGGTGTGGTGGCCAGGGGGAGGGACACATACATGCGGGTCTGTAAAAACCTCCACACACACACACACACACACACACACACACACACACACACACACACGCAGAGTGCACAGATTAGAGAAGTCCTCAGAGGCAAGCAAGCACCAAGGTGGAGCCCAGCCCAACCCAGCGATAGAGAGGAGGCCTCCTGCAGGAAGGGTGCCCTCTGGGGTGGTACAACCCAGCTGATCGGGGCAGGACAAACCCAAGTGAGAGACACGATGCCAGACAGACAAAAATGGGTGAGCAAGGAGCACTGGGAAATACAGGCATGATCACGAGAGGAGGCCCACACACAGAAGGAGGCAGAGCCAGAGCCAGAGGCAGACGGGCAGCTGTGGCTGCTAAGAAGCGTGAGGGCAGTGGGACAGAAACAGGTGGGCAGAGGACACCTCGGGGCAGCTGCCCCACCCTGGGCAGACTGCTCGGGGTTTCTTTTGGGTCATGAATTAGCGTAAGGCTTGCTGCCACCAGTGGTCTCCCTCCCTATCTGGGTGCTATGATACCAATGTCTAAGACAGGCCACTGAGTCCCCACTGGCTCCTTGCGAGGACCCCCTTGCTCTGTACCTGTGAAGCCTGGTGAGGTGACCTGGAAGGTACACATTGGCTCTTCTCTTTCCTAGCTGGCTCCAACCCTCAGCCTCAGCTCACGCTCAGAGAGAGGCCTGGGAGGAAGGTCAAAGACACACAATGGAAGGAGGAAAGCCCCCATGGAGGGCAGGTGTCACCTGGGGATGCTGCGCCCTCCTCTGCAATGGCCTGGGCTTCTTCGGGCAAAGCCCCTTATGTCCTCAGTTTCTCCCATCCAAAGGGGGTGGGACTGTTGGACCCTCGGATCCCCCAGCCTCTGGCATCCAGAGTTTTACACTGAGCCTGCATCTTGTGTGTGTCACGTGTTTTCTGTGCACTCCTCCCCCAAACTCAGCCACATTTCTGAATTAACACTTTGAGCTCTTCTATGCCCCACACCAACTGGGCTTGGATTTTAAAGACCAGACTTGCAAAAGGACATCTCAGCTACAAAGGGGATTCCCAACATGAGCATCCCTTCCCTGCCAGCACCCAGGGGAGCAGAGCCACTCTCCTGACAGTGTTTGGTCTCTGTCCTCTGACATGCTAGGTTTCTATGAAAACTCAGTGAGAAATGGCACACAGTCATTCTACAGATCAAAACCCTCACCGGCTCCCCACTGCCCATCAAATGGAGGTGCAATCTACTGGCAGGGCCTCACCACCTGCCACTTCTCCTACTCATCCCTTTGGAGCCGACAACTGGGAGTCCAGGGATTGGCGTGCCTTTGTCTTCACTAACTCTCTTCTGTCCAGTTGGTCACGGCCCTTCCCTGCCCCTCCCAGTGGGAGCTGTGTGTCCCCGGTGTCCCCGACGCTGACCCCACCCTGGCTGAGAGAACTGTCCTGGGTGATGCTGAGAAGGGCTCCAAGCTGCAATCTAATATGGGCAGGCCTGCCCCAAAGCTGGTGGGTGCAACCTGTGCTGGCCGCTTCAGCAATCCCAGTGGGATCTGAGGAATGCACCCACGATGCACCTCACCCTCCAAGCACCCAGCAAGTGGGCCCCATGAAGCAATCTGAGGATGAGCAAGAGCCCTTGGGAGGTCAGGGAACCTGAAGTTTACAGACCAGCTCCATCGGAAACAAATTCTGACATGCCCTCCAAGAAGCTTCCCTGATCTTTCTGGTTGGCAGGGGTCTCGGTCCCTTGGGGTGGATGCTCTGTGCCAGGGTCTGGCTGAGGGTTCAGGCTTGAAAGTTAGATGGAGCCGCGTTCAAATTCTAATCCTACCTCCCAGTGGCTGTGTGATCACGAGCATATTACCTAGCGTCTCTGTTCTTCAGTTTACTCATACTTGAAACAGATTTCTATGAAGATTAAATTAGATAATACATATAAAATGACTGGGGTAAGTGCTAATTAACACAGCTACCATTAAGATTCCCCCAACACATAACACACACTCTACAGGATAACATAGTGATTAACAGCAAAGATTTGGTCTTAAATCCTGGCTGGGTAGTCTTAGGCAGGTCCCTTGCTCTCTGTCTGTTGATCAAGGTATATTCTCAAAATTCTTCCTCATTACACTCCTGGAGAAGCCACCCCGCCCCCTGCTCCCCGCCCCACTGTCCACTGTCCTCTGTGGCCTAAGGGGCTTCCTAGCAACAGGGACACTAGGCTGCCCTTGGACCCTTTGGTCCTAATCTGCTCTCAGAGCCTCTAGGCCAGGGACATCCAATCTTTTGGCTTCCCTGGGCCACATTGGAAGAATTGTCTTGGGTCACACATAAAATACACTCACAACAGCTGATGAGCTAAAAAAAAGAAAAAAGTTCGCAAAAAAATCTCATCATGTTTTAAGAAAGTTTACGAATTTATGTTGGGCCACATTCAAAGTCGTCCTGAGCCACGTGTGGCCCATGGGTCACGGGTTGGACAAGCTTGCCCTAGGCCAGTGCCACCTCCCAGGAGTTCCTCAGCCCAGAGCCCTCCCTGATACAGCCAAGCAGGCCCTGAGCAGCCCAGGCCCCAGGGTGTCCAGGGTCAGCTCATTCTTGGTGCAGAGCCAGCAGATTTGGAAAAATCATATTGTACTGAGATTAAGTGCCTTTAATTCCTGTGAATCCCCCATCTGACTCACTGCCTCCTCTCCTGGCTGGCCCCACAGTCACTACCATTTAAACACCTGTATTATCAAACTGCTGGGCACCAAAGGCTGGCAGAAAATTTACTTCCGTTACAAAGGACCAATTCAGGGGAAGGGCCCATTATCCAGACACTGGTTGTTCATCTTTCCCATGGAGCTGGGAAGGTATGAGAAGGACCTGTGTAAAGTTTGATAATGGAAAACTTAAAATGATTTTTTGGAGAGTTCGTGTCCTCCTCCTCTTTTGTGTCAAAAGATGCAACGGTGGCCCTCATGCTCCATATGACAGGAGTGAAGGTTGGATGGGATGCTCCTTAGGTTGAGTGAGAGGCCAACCAAAGGCCAGTCTGGAATTTAGGGTCAAAGGACCCAAGTTCCTATCCAGTTCTGCACCTGGAGACTTTGTCTATTTTCCTAACTTCCCTCTGTCTCAGTTTCCTCATCCATAAAATGGAGATGATACTGGTCCCTACCTTATAGGGTGTCACTGGGATCAAATAAATGATGCCCTGGCTGCTGACACTGTTGTCATTATTACTATTATCATAACCATGACCATCTAAGGGCTTTGTAGCTGGCCTGTCCTCTGCTCTTCAGTGACAGACATGCCACAGGTGCTCATTTTCCTCCTGTCCTAGAAGCTCTAGGGAGGGTGGGTCTGTCTAGGGCATACACCAAACACTGGGTACAAATGTGCCCCAGGGAGGCTCCCAGCTGGGCCCTAGGCGTCCTCACCCGCCATGTTCCTGCTTGGTCAGGTGTCACAGTGTGCCCTTAGGAGGGTGACGTGTGGCTCTGAAGGATGCCCCCAGCAGGCACCCACTACTCTGGGTTCCAGTGAATGAGGCTGAGCTGCTGTGAGCCCTGCCCCTGCCCCAGAGGCCTCGCACCCTATCTCCTCATCCCTGCTGCTTCCTGACCTGAGCTCTCGGTTGCTCTGTGGATACTTGAGTGTATGTGATGTACCCTTCATTTGGTCAGCATTTATTGAGTGCCTACTACATTTAAAAAGCAGTGCTCTGTGCTGGTCATTCACTTCATAGGGATATGGCCTACGATGTACCAGGTCTGAGCCTGTGGCTGCCTCAATAGCATGGCTCCGTCCTTGCTGGGCCTTCCTGTCGCAGGACAGGGCCAGGTGTGTGCCCAGTGATGCTCTGGTACAAGCACTATCACCTGCCCCAGCCCTAGCCCCACCTGAAATTCTTGAAATGCTCTGAGTGTCAATCCATTACAGTCATCCTCCTCCAGGAAGCCTTCCATAGGCCCTCACTCCCCAAGGACTCCTCCTCTTTTGATCTCAACACATCCCTTGCCCCGTGGACACGGTGCATCACAAATTTTCTTCCTGCATGTGACCTACAGTGGCCTAGACTGTGAGCTCCCCTGTGGCTGGCACAGGTCTGTTTCTTTGTCTCCTGAAGAGCCGAGCACAGACCCACACAAATAGTAGGTGCTTACTAAATACTGCTGCCTTACTGAGTACAGATAGAGAGAGCAGTGGAGAGGGGCTGACTTGCGCAGAGGCCTGAAGGTGGGTGCTGTACCAGGCACCACATGTGAACTAAGGACCCAGTGGGACTCCCAGCCCAGGAAGGAGACAAAGCTCTGGCCCCCGGCATCCTCTGAGCGACAGCCCAGGCCAGTCCCTAAGTTCTAGGCCCTGGCCTCATCCCCGGTGGAGTGAAGGCCCGGCAGTGAAGAATTCCTTCTCTGGCATTAGCCCAGACCCAGCTGCCTCAAACGAGATCTCATCAGGACAGGGCCAGCTTTTTCACCTCTGCTTATTAACTCCCCTGAGCAGCAGTGAGTGGAAAACGGGAGGGAGCAGGGAGTGTGAGAGCCTTTTCATTTCTGGAGCTCACCGCACTGTGCGTGGATATTTCTGGAAAGCTTCCATGGGGGCTGCCCTGGCTGGGGTGGGAGGACCCATGGGCTGGGAGGGGGTTCTTGATTTAGGCTGACAGTGCGGGTCCAAGAAGGGACCAGTGTTCAGGAGCAGGCAGCCCCTCGGACCTGTCCTGAGATGGCACTCTCTTTTCCTAGGGGCTCAGCAGCTTAAGTTGAGGGCTTAAGCCTGGCGGGGCTGCCCATCCTAGATGGACCACACAACGAGAGGCATGGTGGGCCGCATGGGTTGGCCCAGAGACCAGATTGTGAGCCACGTGGAGCTCCCAGAGCTCACATCCTCCTAGCCAGCACGTTCCACTTTGGGCCTCAGTCTCCTCATCTGTAACAAGACAGGGAGGGCTCTGCGGGGTCATTCTGCAGTTCCAATGCTGCAGGCTTTCATGTGTATTAACTATTAAGGCTCCCAGATGCCTCAGAGGAGCTGCAGGACTGCCCCCACCCACTCTGGCCTCCGCCCTACCTCCCAGTAGGTACCAGTTAGTGATCCAGCTCAGCTTACAGAAAAGATCTCAGATCTGAGTGGACTCCGCTAATGCCTGCAGAGTTAGGGCCTCCTGGAAGGCAAGGGAATGGCCAATAAATGGCATGTGACACCCAGGGAACAGCTTCTCTATCTATCCCTAGGGCTCTGAGGCTGGCAGAAGGCTGCTGAGCCAAATGCTCTGTGGCTAAAAGGAATGGGGCGGAAACCCACAGATCTGCCCCTGGTAGAGGGGACATCAGGGAATGTCTGTCTGATTGTCATGAGGTTTTAAGGGCAGAAAGATCCCTGCCAGGTCATCTAAACCCCTGGTTTATCAGTGTGAAAACTGAGCCACAGAGAGGAACTGGCTTAAGTCTCTAGGCCAGCTCCCCTTTGCAGGCACCAGTGTGTCCCAGATTGGCCAGATCACAGGTATTTTCTGGGGGCATCTGTTTAAAAATTGGAGGCCTAGGCCCAACTCCAGATCTACAGAATCAGACTCCAGGAGAGGGGCCTGGTGATCTGCATTTAAACAGGTGTCCCAGGTGGCCTGGGTGTGCTAGCATGCCTGGGAAGCACTGTGTCTCCATCTCAAAGTATCCTCCTAGAAGTTCCCACTTGAAAGCTCAAGAGAAGACCTGGGGGTCCATTGTCTCTGGAGAGGGAAGTGTCTGGGTCCAGAGCTAACAAATGCCCACCTCAAGCAGATGCTCCTGTTTGAGGGGTGGGAGGTATCTCCCCAAGGGCATCAGTCTGCTGCTAACAGAGAGGACTGGTGCTGTGTAGCTATTGCTGCATTTTATCCTGCCAGGTGGGTGCACTGCACCCCTTTACAGATGAGGAAACAGGTGAGTTGAAGATGAAAGAAACTTGTCCAGACTCACCTGGCTGATAGGTGGAAGAATAGAGATTTGAACCCAGGACTGTCTGTCCCTGAAACCCACACACTTTGACCACACGCCACACTTTATCCTCTATCACACTGAATTTACATGAGCAAAACTGTGTAGTGACTTCTCCAGCAATGGAGGTGTCTGGGCAGCAGCTGGAGGAGTCAATACCAGGGATGAGACGATCTTTATCAGCCCTTCTGGAGCTGTGGCTGTGGACAGGCTAAGCTGGCTACAGGATGCAAGGAAGTCTGTTGCATTTCTTCCATACACAGATAAAAATGCTCCAGATTATTTATAGGTTCTAGTGCATCAAAGTCCTCCTGGCTCAATCCTTGACCACGCTGGAGCTGCCGGGCAGGAGGCAACTGGGAACCCCTACCTGAGAGGGAATTGCTGGGGGCAGAGGCAACGAAGCACAGGGGGCTGGCACCCCAGGTGGTGACAAGGGCAGGGGTCAGGGGTTGTGACGGGAAGTCTGGGTGAGGCCAGGGACCAGAGAAAACTGGCAGGGGCTATTGGCAAGGGCGAGGGCCGTCTCATGCCAGCCTGTCCCACCAACCTGAGGGTGGGCCAGATGGAGGTGGCACCACGGGAGCAATTCACAGAGGTTATGAAGCAGAGATGTTCCCCTAGGCTCCAACAGAGGTCCCTAAAGATGCCTCAGGGGAGCGGTAGACGGTCCCAGAACAGCCGTGAGGCAAGATGTGCTTGCTGTTTCCCAAACTGGAGCTGAAGAAGGGTGAGAAGCACTTAATGGGGGAGGCAGATGTGAGCAAAAAGCTTCCAAAGGCTCAGCAACCATAAATTTCCTGCTCTCCGTTAACCAGTCAGCTCCCTGGGGGCTCTAGAAAGTTTTCTGGGGCCCAGCTCACCCAGCAGCCAGGGTGGACGGACACCTGTGGGGGTCACACTGAGGTCCCTGCCTCTTCTCTCCTCCTGCACTGGCCACAGCCCAGAGCTGAGACATCAGTCAAGCAGACCTGATACCCAGGGAGCAGGGCTGAGAGCGTGACCATGCGCCACACGATGCACAGCATTATTTCTCGTGGAGTCCGCACACAGCCTCCGAATCCTTCTTAATACGGCCCACAAGCACATTAACAACTGGGATGCTAGACATCACCTTGTTGCTATGCCCAGAGGAAGCTGAGGGTGCACAAGCTGGGTGCCTGTCTGTGGCTTTCAGCTGCCCTTCAACACAGAACTGGCCAGGGACTGTGCTGGGGACATGGTTCATAGCCTGCCCTGAGCTTTCAAGGAGTATACAGTCTAGTGGGGAAAGAGCAGATGGCTGGCTTGGAGGAACAGAGACAAAAAAAGGCCATGGGGTGCCTGTGTGCAGATGAAGGAGGGAATGGGCTGGGGAAAGAAAGGGGGGCTGTTGGCTCAGTACACTCAAACTCCGCAGCCCTTGCTGGTGGGAGGAGGTAGGCCCCCGGGGGAGCTCCGCTTTGGGTAGTGGCACCAGCCCTGTCTGCAGTGGACGGAGACGAGCACCTGAACCTTCCATGACTCCCTGCCACACTGCCTGAGCAGAGGCAAACAAGAGGTAGATCATAAATGGAGCATACAGCCAAGTGCAGCTGAAGGGGGCTTGCAGGTAACAAAGAGGAAAATTGGCTCCAGAGGGTAGAGGGCTCTGGAGGGGCTGTTCTGCCGCCAGCCTGACTCCTAAGAAACACCCCACTTTGGGAGAACTCTCTAGGCCAGCAGGGGCAGGGCCAGGCTCTGGGGAGTAAATCCCCTCTTCTCCCTCCTAGCCTTGGAGCCATCCCTGCCACAGGCATCCTCCACTCGCTGGAGACCTGGGCTGGTTAGGAGGACACAACCTTTGGGCACCTCTGAGATTCAGACTCTGCTGGCTGATGTGGGAGGGGCTGGAGGGCAGGGGTGACCTTTCCTGGGAGGAACAAAGGCTCTCACCCTCCTAGCTCCGTCTAGGGTGTATGCGCACTGTCAGGAAGCTGGGAGGGATGAAGGGCAGGACTGGCCAATACGTGGCCCAGCCTGTGACAGCTGCTTGGTCTGGGGCTGTTTCGGCATGAAGTACAGGGCAGCCTCAAGCACTGAAATCTACTGTGGGCGGTGTGGGGGGAATGAAATTGCTCACATCGCCTTTCCTCTATTCATTTCAGGTTCAGTTGCCTGGGTTCTAGCCATGGTCCTGCCTGCCTCGATATATCTTTAGGACAAGTGCCCTGTGCCTCGGTTCCTTATTTTGTCCTGCAGGACAGCAGTGGCCTTGCCTACAGAGACAGCCTGTGCTCTGCAAACTCACCTGCAGGATTTCCTCCCTCAGGCCTCAGTTTCTTCACCTGCAAGATGAAACAGGACTCTCCAAGCATGCGCCGTGCAATACAGCTAACAGTGGAGACTGCAATGACTGGATTTCAAAGACTTAGTATGATGAAGAATGTAAAATATCTGCCCTGTGAATCCAATACATTACCATCCCAATATGTAATCAATGAAAAATGAAAAACAGCCTGGTGGGCAGTCTGATGCACACTTTAAACGGCAAGAAGAGTGTCGAAGGAAGGCTCTGGATTTAGGAGGCCTGTCCAGGGAAGGCTACTGGGGCCTCCAGGAGGCACAGGTGTGGCCTGAGGAAGGCTTCCGAGGATGGAGCCATGAGGCAGCCCATAGAAACTCAGGCCAGAGCACAGAGTGGGAAGGTGTGATGAAGAAGAGGGGTGGGGGGCAGCACGGTGGAGCCGCAGCCCAGGGCGCTGGCAGAAGGCTAGCATGTGATGTGGCTGTGAAAGGAGGCTGGGGCCAGATGGCGGTGACTTTGAATGCCAGGCTGAGTTGGCTGGGCACGCAGCAGGCACTTCCAGGAAGACTGGCTGACCAAGGCCGGGGACCGAGGGAGCTTCCCGAGGGCGTCCAGGTGAGTGGTGGGGCCTCTGCCCCTCACAGGCCACTGAGACCCTCTGGGCCTACACCTTCCAGCTTCCTCTCCCTTCAGGAGAGGACAATTTACTTATTCATGAGCATACAAACACTCCCACCAGGCAGCCAGCTCCTGTACACCTCACTTCTAATTATAGCAGGAATTTCATTAATGCTGGAGGGAGATGCCAGGTTTCCAACCACCCCTTGTTAGTGGGCACAGGCCGCCTCTCGTTCTCCTGCTCCAGCTGGTGGCCAGCAACCCACATGCCCAGGACGGTACAGGGCAGCTGCAGGGTGGGCTAGCAGCCTGCACTCCTGAGCCAGGAGGTGGCCGGCACGGCAGGGCCATGGGAGGGGATGGCACCTTCCCCCACCACCTGGCCACACACGGAGTGCAGCCTCCAGCAGCTGGGAATGTGGGGTTGTCTCAGACCCGCCAAAGAGCAGGGTGGGAGGGAGTGGCATGTTGGCTGGAGCCAGATTTAGGCAAAGGCAGAAGGTAGGGAGGCCTCTGTTGTGCAGAGCCCTGAGGATGACAAGAAGCAGTGACACAGTGGCATGGTGCAGCCGTGCTGCTGGGAGGCCTGGTAAGGAGTGGCCCTGAGAAGGAGAGCAGAGGTGAGGAGGTGCAGGGACCCTGGGATACGCTGCAGGGACAGGGAGGCGTGTGGCGGCGGAGGCAGCCTCTGGGATGTAAGAAGACAGGAAAACTGGGCAGGAGAGAGCTGCAGGGAGAGATGAGGACAGACAGCCACGGGGAGATGGGACAGAGACACGCAGAGATGGACCCACTGCCCCACCCTGCAGGGAGAGCCCACACACACACACACACACACACACACACACACACACACACACACACACACACAGCTGAGCTGGGGCTTGGAGGCCAAGGCCAGAAGAAGTAAAGAAATGACTAGTGCCAAGTCAGGCTTGGCTGCTCACAGAGGACCCCCCTAGCAGACCAGGCCCGCCTAGGGGGAGCTGGTTGGGCCCACCCAGAGACTTCAGGCCAGAGGCTCAGGGTGTAAGTCTGTGGCAGGAGGCATGGCCGCCAAATCCATGCCCTCCCGTGACCACGGGGAGCTGTCAAGACCTCCAGCTGTGGGAGGGCAGGTCCGAACTCTCCGGCCTGAATGCTTGGGCCCCACACTGCCCCTCAGTCAGCTCCACTGTGGTCAGGGCCCCCCAGGCCAGTCTGAATGTGGAGCCAGTGTGCACCTGGAGGTCCTGACACACACGGGAGGGAGGGGTCTCCCCTTTCCTTGAATACTCATGAATATTCACACAGCCTCACGTCCTGCTGAACAATCACACCCATACACAGGCACACGCTACTACGCACACACTTACACACAAGCACACAGCCACACACCCTCCTCCCTCCCTCCCTCTGGAAGCTCTGAGTCTCCCAGAGCCACTACTCAGGCTAGGGTGCACTGTCATCCTGGGTCTCTGGGCAAGGAACCCTGGTCCCACATTAGGGCCAGAATGAGAGAAGCTGCTAAGAGGAAACCGGCTTTGTCAGGCCCAGCTCTGGCTCCCAAACTGAGCTCACCCAGGCAGGGGAGGAAGGCTTGGAGAACACACTCCCCATCTGCTGCCCTCTCCTGAAGGATCGTGGCCCAAATCCCAGAAAGGGAAAGGGAGCTGCTGAGGTTACACCAGACAGACCAGCATATCAGACCTAGGTCTGAGGCCCCCACCTCCCAGACAAGGGCTTTCTGTACCTCCCCACCCCCCTACCCAACCCACAACCTGTTAGACACCCTCTGATATAAGGAGTGTGGCTCTTTCCCTCAACCCTGCTCAGTGCCCCTATGTCCATGCAATGGGGCCAGTCAGCGGGGAGCAGGCACTGGTGCCTCAGCGCCTGTATCCTCGTCCAGTCCTCCCCTGGGACCTTTGGGAAGGGGCTCTGGAGGGAACAGGCTTCCTCCCGATCAGTGCAGCCTCCCCAGTAACCATCCTGGAGAGCCTCATGCTCTCTCCCAGACTCAGGGATGCTCCAAGCCCCAAAATCCACTGTCCAAGTGGCCCATACAGCCGCAACCCCAGCTTGCACACAGTTTAGTGATGAGGAACTCACCACCTCTGCAGGAGGCAGCTTTTTAACATAAAATCTCCAGATAGCTCAGACTCTTGGAAAGTTGAATTGGAAGATGCTGAAGAGATAGCATGGTTGCCACTAAGGGGCCTGAGGTCTCCTGGCCGGAGTTCACCAAGCAAGACTGTCCTTTCATCATTAGCTTGGAAAGTGACAGAACTGGCCCATCACCCTGACTGTCACTCCAAATTATAACAGAGCTACAGTCACAATATCCTATAGCCAGTACCACCTCCTTCACTCAAGACAGCTACCTAGAGACGCATGAGAATCACTCACTCACTCACTCACTCACTCACTCACTCAATTAACAGAATATCAATGGGGCCACTGCTCTGTGCCAGGGACTAAGACGTGGTAGTGAACAATGGTTCATTCAATGTTCTTTTCAGTTTAACAGCTGCCCTTCACCCATTTTACAGGTGGCAAAGCTGAGTCCAGGGAAAGGCAGCAACTTCTCAAAGCCATACAGGGAGCCAATGGTCAAGAGCGGAGCCCCACGCTGCCGCTGTTGGTGCTGACAGTGGGCCAGCCCTGGGAAGAAGGAGAGAAGGCCGCATGTTCACCGTCCCCACCCCCAGCCGTGTCTAGGACACCAAGGTATTGATTACCACCCTCGCCTTAGAGTGGTTTTCTTTTCTTTTTCCACCAAGGCTTTCTCTTCCTCATTTTTTTTTTCTTTTTCAAAGAATCAACTCGAAGCTGCTCCTATGATTAATTACCAGCTGCCTAATGCTCCGCCACTGGCAATTTATGGAAAAGGAATGAATTACCTTGAAAAACATCCGAAAAGAGAACCCACCGTGAAGGAGAATTTCAAAGGTTACCAGACAATTAGCAGGGGGTTCCCCTAGCCTTATCGAGTTGCAGGCAGGCCCCATCGGGAGAGGCAGGCCACCAGCCTGAGGGCCACCCTCTGGCTCCAGAGAGCAGCGGACTTGGCGGGCTGGGCAAAGGCTGCAGGGCAGAAATGGAGTGGCTTTCCCCAAGCAGCTCCCATGCTTGTCCTGGGGCCCCGCCCCTGGCCTCTAAGGCCTTATGCACTGGTTAATCCTGATGGACCTCGGTTCAAATCCCCATTCCAGCACTGATGGCTCTGTGGGTTTCCTAACCACGCCGAGCCTCTGGAGAATGAATTAGACAAACCTCCCCGTGGGATTCTTGTGGGGGTAAAAAGGTATTAAAGGAGCATAGTGCCTGACACACACACAGCAGATGCTCACGAGACTGTGACATTTAAAAATATTCATGGCTTCTAAGCATCCTCACAGCAGCTCTGTCAGCAATGTCAGTATAATCAGCCTCATTTTCAGATGAGAAAGCTGGCTCTCACACAAGGGAAGGGACTGGCCCAAGGTCATGCAGCCAATCAGCAGACAGCTGGGATTTCCTGCAGCAGGAACGGAGATGGAGCCTGGCTCTCCAATGTCGGAGCTTGACTGAGGCTCGCCTGGCCCTGCCCCTAGGCCCCTGGAAGCGCTAAGCTCCAGGAGGGACGCTGAGGGCAGCAGGGGATGTTAGGAGACAGCTCCACACCAGGGCGAAGACTCCCCCCTCCCGGGCTGCCCCAGCACCACGACGCCTTGGGACAAAGGGCTCTGGGCCAAGTAAGGATTTTTGTGAAGTCTCTCATCTCTAGGTTGAGAGTTGCCAAGTAAACAGGGATTACACAGGTCACCCTCGGGCACAGGGCCAAGTGAGATCAACCCTGAAATGCCACCCCATGATGAGAAATGCTGGGGCACGGGACAGAGCTGGGCTTGACCTCAGGACCTGCTGGCCCCGACCTTAGGACCTGCTGGCCCCAGCTGCTCTCAGTTGCTCCTCAAGGTGCCCTGCCCCCCTTATCAGGCGGGGGGTCCAGTTCGTGTCCATCCTGGCACTGGTGGGTCCTCAGGGGGAGCAGGGTGGTGGAAACTGAGGTGTGTGGGGAGAAAGGTGGGTCCTAGCACCCTTGAGGAAAAGGACTGACATGTCCCTAGTCCTTGCTGTGTGCCAGGTGTGTAGTCTCCTCACTGCGAGAGTGGAGCAGGCACCGCCATCTCATTCCCATTTGATAGATGGGTAAACAGAGGCACAGAGTAACCATGCATGCCAGTCAGGATTTGAATCCAGGTGGTCTGACCCCAGAGCCCAGTGTATCCATCTCGGCATGTTTGTGAGAGTGGGCAGAAGGGGTGGGTAGCCCTGCACCCATTTCAGCCGACATGCTCCTGCTCACCCAGGCCTCCTTTGGTGGGGCTGCCCATACTCCACAGGGTTTAGAGTGGTGCAGACAGGGCTGCTGTGCCAAGACCAGGTGGCCAGACCTGCCCCTCTCCCCGGGCAGACCTGCAGCCCCCACCCCTAGCAGCTGCTCTAGAGAAAGGCCAGGCCAAGAGGTCCCTGGGTGCCAGGTAGAGGGACAGCCCATTGGGGGCATGATGAGGTCCCAGCAAAGGTGGCTTGTGCCCGCTCCTGCCCCTCAGGGCTGAGGCCCGAGTCAAAGGTCCAGCGTGCTAGGGCTAGCACCTGCCCTCATGAGGACTCACCTGCGTCCGACCCAGCCACCTCCCGCCAGCCCCGTGGCACACCTACCTCAGTGATCTGCAAACCACCAGTGTTCCACACGCCGGTCAGCAGCTTGCGGCCCCTCCACCTCACTCCAGCTCCATCCTGCTGCAATGAAAGTGGGAGGTCAGCGGGTCTACCCACAGTAGAGGCCCGGCACTGACCATGAGGCCACTGCCCACTGCCACCATATCATCCCCATCTGACAGAGGGGGACTCTGAAGGGACATGATGGGGTGCCCTGGCATAAACAGGCCCCTGACTCCCCACACCTGCCAGTTACTGGTTATGTGATTACAGATATGCTCTCAGACTCTCTGGGGTTCAATTTCCTCACGTGTCAAAGTGGGGTCAAAGTATGTCTCAAGGTCACCGGGAGAATCCAGGGAGATGCAATGACAAAGGCACTTCGCATTCACTCATTCATTCAACAAACATTCAGCAAGCATGCTGATGTGATAGTGATCCCTACCCTTGCGGAGACTCAGACGAGAGCAAAGAATCAAATGATACAAAAGTAAAAGCAGTGCTTGCCAGAAACAAACAATGAGTCCAGGAGCCACACAGCAGAGACTCAAGGTCCCAGGTGGCCTCTCTGGAGAAGTGAAGTTGAGCAACAAGCCAGGGAGAGGCAGACCAAGATGCAGCAAACAGCATTCCAGGCAGAGGGAACAGCATATGTGAAGACTCCAAGATAGAGAAAAGTGCCTGGCCCAGTGGAGGACTTGGGGTCTGTGGTGTAGCAGATGCACTGAGCAAGGGAGGGGTGCCGTGAGTGGAGACCAGGGGCCAGGGACAGTAAGAAAGAGGGTGGGCAGGAGCCACAGCAGCATCTGGGCAGCTGAGGGATGTGACCCTAGTTCTAGTTTAGGAAGCCCCCATGGCTGTGAAGGGAGAAGGGCTTGGAGGAATAGGAGGAGGCAGAAGAGCAGTGGGGACGCTGCTCCAGGGTCCAGACCAGAGACAGTGGTGCTCGGGGCAGAGATGGCAGCAGGCAGAAGTGCAGGGCCTGCGGGTGCACTGGGAGTGTGGGCACACAACCATCCTTGTTGGGTGGGGCTCAGCTGGCCCATCTCCTCAACGGCCCACCAACACGCCCCCTACTGCCCACAGAGCCCTGAGGGCAGGAGGGAGGATGACACCCAGAGGCCTGGCTGGTGGGCTTCTCTGGGGTCTCAGCTGGAGGCTGGGATGTGCAGAACCCTGAATTCAAGCTATGGCTGTGAAGGTGCCCCGATGCAAGGCCGTGAACAGTCACTGTGCCTCTCTGCACCGGAGTGCCCACCTCTAAAAACCAGGAAACCTGACTGCAGGGCTGAGCTCCTCTCAGAACAAAGATCGTGGCTCACAGCGGGAGAGGTGGTGCCCACATCACGTGAAGCATAGGCCTCCATACACGCCAAGGGGCTCGGTAAGGGCCTCAGCCTGGGCTCCACCTCACTGTGCACAGGCAGGGGCTCCCAGGGAGAAATGGTGCCCAGGGCCTCGATAAGAGGCAAAGAGGCCTGGTGATTGAGAGGCAGGCTCAGTAATCACAAGGATCTGCTTCAAATCTTGGCTTCGCCCTCGTACCAAGTGTGTGACTTGGACACGTTTCTTAAGCCTCCCTCTGCCTCAGTTTCCTCAACTGTTGTAGGGGATATAGAAATAAAGAGAAGGCCTCCCTCAAAGAGCTGTGCAGACTGTGTAATGCACTGCATGCGAGGGCCAGACACCAGTGGCTCTCCACACACGTCAGCTGATGCATGGATGACCCCGTGGGGGCTGGTGCTGGGCTCCATGAGTGCTGGAACCCTACACCCCAAGATCCTGGGACCAGGCCCAGTGTCCCCACCCCAGCCATGGGGAGAGGAAGTGGCTCTACATCCTAACCTTCTGGCTCTGGCAGCCCCCAAATTCTGCTTACCTTGGAAATACAAACAGTTTTGGGGTTCACTGACCCCAATACTTCCCTTTCACTGAGGAGGAAACTGAGGCCCAGAGACAGGCAGCGTTTGCCCTCATCTGGGGTCATGCAGTGAGTCAGTGACTGGGGCAGAACTGGAGTCGGCCTCCTGCCTCCCCACCGCCCACAGCTAGGCCTTTCCCAAAGGCAAGCTGGCCAGCAGAGCCGCTGACAGAGAGAAAATAATTATCTTGGCAGCTGAGACGGAAGCCAGAGCCGAAAAGCCCTCGCTCCCCAGTGAGCATCGGCCAGGCCCGGAGAAACGGCGTCGGGCCATCAGCGTCTCAGGGGTGCTCGGCTTATGGTGCACACACGTACCTCACTGCCCCAGCCACCCCAGCCCCTTGGTGTTGGGCTTGTGCAAAGGGGCAAACTGAGATCAGAGAGGGGAAGGGACCCAGCTAGGGTCACCCAGCCATAAGTGGGGGTGCTAGAATTTGAACTCAGGCTCTGGTTGGGGGACAGTGAGCCTGCATTGGACCACCCTGCTAGGAAAGAGAGAAGGAGTAGGAGGGCACTCTGTATTGAGTCCATATTGTGGATTGTGCCCTGGATATTTCCTTTAGCACTCAGTGAAACGCTGTGAGGTGGACACTGACATCCCTGATTTCCACACGAGGCCAAGAGGTTCTATAACCTCCTGAGGTCGCACAGCTAATAAGCAGCCCACAGGAACACAGCCGGGATGTGAGTAAGCAGCCCATCCCCACTCACAGTCTGCCCGCTATGCGGCAACCAGCCGGAGAGCCTGAACCCTGCCCAGCCCTGGGAGCTGCTCAGCAGCCCTGCTCAGGGCCAGACGGCGCCGGGCACCCCTCATGCTGCGAAAGGGGGGCTCAGGAACCAGGAGCCTGTGCCATGCTGTGCACACCCACCACAGCTCTGCTGGTGCCTTAGCCGAGGCCCACAGCCTGTGTGGGCTTGGCCTCCTGGGGAGTTCAGGGAGAAGAGAGGGCAGGAGACGAGGTGTAGCCCCGTTTGCTCCCAGCCTGGTCAGACCGCAAGGATAAACCACGAGGGGCTGGAGGGGAGCGCTCTTTTGTGGAAAGGCCTTGGTGCCACGGAGTGAGTGCAGCCTGAGCCTCAAGGCCAGTGGAAGCCCACCCAATCTCCCCATGAGGCAGGGACCCCAATGCTCAGATAGCTCTCCCAGGCACCCTCAGCACAGCACTCTCACTTCTGGGGTGTGTGAGACCCTGACCACACGGCAGCTTCTCACTGCGAGGCCAGAAAGGGCAGCGTGCCGACAGCAGCCTGAAACACCCCTCACTCTCACAGTGCATCTGAAGCTCCCGGGGGAGGGGAGGCCAGGACTCACTCCTGCTTTGCAGAACATGACACTGAGAAGGATGGGGCTGCCAGAGGTGTCCAGCTGGAAAGTGACAAGGCTGAGTCTCAGACAAGGCAGATGTCACTTGGGGGTAGGGACTGTCCTGGGACTAAGAGGGGTTCCCCCCATCATATCTACCTTCCCAGCCCCACCTCCAGGGATCCCTGGGAGGACCTGGGTGTGGGCTGGGGTGGAGGCACTCGGTCATGTTGACCCGGGGCTGAGTCTGACCCAGAGAGATGCAGGATCAGTCAATCCAGGATGCCTGGAGGGCAGTGGTGCCCGAAATTTAGGACCAGGGGTGGCTCCAGGGCTGCGGCTAAGTAGCCAGTTGCTCTCTACAGCTGCTAAGGCTTGGGAGTCCACACTTGGGGCTGAAGCCCTGGCCCTGGCCTCAAGGGTTAGGGCAAGAGTGGGTAGAATTGGGTTTGAACACTTGCTGGGTGACCTTGAGCAAGTCACTAGGCTTCTCTAAGCCCCCAGCTCCTCTCTAAGCAGGGGCCGACCGCCCTCCATTGGCTCTCACCAGAGAAGGCTCCAGGTTGCACTGGGGGAGGGGGCAGATGGCCCTGGGTGCTGTGCTGGGCAGGGGTTACACCAGGGCACCCTCAACCTGGAGTTCAGGGCTTCCATCACCAGGCCTCAGCTCTTCATGCTTGCTGCTGACCACACACGTGCCTTGGCCCTGATAGCTGTGAGGCCTTAACAAGATACGGGGTGTGCAGATGCAGACACCAAGGAGTTAAAAGCTCAGCCCATGGTGCCCATCCAAATCAGGGTAATTGCTCAAGGTTATAAGTGGCCAAGTGGGGATCAGAACGGTGGTCACAAGGGTGTCCACCCACATCTGGTCCAACCCGCCGCTCCCCTGGCCAAGCTGGCGGAACCAGCTCCCGCTACACTGATCCTCAGGCGCCTGAGCTGTTCTACTGTCATTTTACAGATGTGCCAAACAGCTGCTGGTCAGGCAACAGGCAGACTCTTGGGGTGACAGGGGATTCCCCAACTTGGAGAACCCCACCGCCACACACATCCCCTTACATGACCCCAGGGACAGGCCCCTGTCCTCCCCTGGCGGGCCAGTGCTGGCTCCAGGAGCAAGGCAAATATTTACCCCATGGTTATCCAAATGGGGCTGGCTGCCCCGCCTCCTGCATTCCTGAAATACCTGTTCCCTGACCTCACCAAGCTGGGGGTGGGGATCCAGACACAGGGAAGAGCCAGACCCAGCCTGGGCCAGGGTGCAGGCCAAGGCCCACGGGCCAGAAGGATGAAGCAGCCCTAAATCACCCCTCCAGCCATGCACCCACCAGAGGAGGCTCCAGGGTGCTCTGGACATTGAGCTGGACATTGGCCGGAGCAAGGACCTCCCCATGGACAACAAGGGGAGAGGGTCACACTGCCCCAGGGTTCTGTGGCACCAATGCCACCTCAGAGCTCCTGTCATTAGGCCTCAGCTGTTCACACTTGCTGCCAACTGACCACACACACACACACACACACACACACACACACACCCCTTATGCCTGCAGAGAGAACCATTCAACCTGCTCAAACGTGGTAGATTCTCCCACCTGCCAGGCTCCTTCCTCAATAACCCTGGTAGCTCTCACTGCCCCACTCCATCACTCCATCCTCAGCACAATCCTGTCACCAGGGAGCTGTAAGGTCCCACTTTACAGAGGAAGAAATCGCTCAGCAGAGAGCAAAGGCCACACATCACACAGTGGCAGAACAGGAGCCGCAGTCCCCTACATGGCGCCTTGTGCAGCTCTACGTCTCGTCACTGTCCTTTGGAACCCTATCCATCCTTCAATGCTCAAAGAGCCACCTCCTCCATGCTGCCTTCTCTGAGAGCCACCTCCAAGGTACCCTCCCTGAACTTCCAGACATGCTGGTGTTTCTTTTCGCTTGCATAATTAAAATTAGGTGCCTGTTTATCTCTTCAGCCTCGAGGCCCATAAGGACAGGGACCTGGTAGTCCTCATTCCAGGCACAGCAGAGCTGAACCCAGGGACTTGGTGCTCTGGGAGAACTGCATATCCTCTCAATCTTTTCACCGAAGAGCAGTAACTACAGTTGGCCTCAAGGAACAGAAATGAATGAGGACCTAGGAAGCTGGTAGTTTGGGGTCTGCGGGAAGTCCTGGGCGGGGCTGCCCAAGAGTCCCGAGGTACGCTTGGTTCAATCATCCTGTCGATCTTTACCTCCTGTGAGGAGGCTCCAGGATGCCCTCCAGCAGACAGTAGGCACTGTCTTCCGAAGCCCAGCCCTGGAAGCCCAGCCTGCCTGCTGGGCCTGCTTTCCGCTCCTTGCCACATGCCCCTCGGCTCCCTCACCTTTCTCTCTCCCATGGGGAAGGCTCGAAAGTGGCCAGGGAAGGGCGGACAGGCAGCTCTGGGCTGACCTGCTGGGAAGGCAGGAACACCAGGTGAGAAAAGTGCAGGCCTGGCAAGCTGAGATCGTGGGAAGTCGTGGCTGGTACCTGCTGCTGGGCCCTCAGGACGCCTCCATGTGTGGGAAGTTCCTGTGGCCAGAGGACATGCCACGCAAACCTAGGGTCCCCAACCTGGCACCGTGGGGACCCAAAGAGTGAGAACTGGGGAAGAGCAGCGGGGGGGTCTCTGAACTACCCTCCCCACCCACCTAACATCCCTGCGACTTGGTTTCCTCATTTCAAAAATGGGGCTATAAAGTGACTTCTAGAAGTTGTTCATTTCATTCATTCATTTCTTTATTTAAAAACAACTGATGACAATGCCTGCTATCTGGCAGAGAAGGAAAAGAAGGAGAAGAGGTAAAGAGTAGGGGTGGGAGGGGTGGGGACGGGGCCAAAGGTCAGCACTTGCCCAGCCTTTGTGCTTCCCCAGGGTGCTCACACACTGTGTGACACCAGTGGGGAAGACACAGGAGATGGGTAATCCTCAGATAACTAGGGGCATGTGCACAGAGTGCTGGCGGGCCAGCCCAGCTCGGCCTGGAAGCAAAATGGGGGGCAGAGCCACCGTCCCTCGGGCAGTCTTTCAGGCAGGAGGGTACCTCTCCCTGGGCAAAGGCCCAGAGGCTTTTAGGGAGAAGAGCTTTGGGCTGAAGAGAGAGCTGCAGAGGGCATCAGTGAGCAGGGCGCAGCTGCATTCGTGGGGCAGAGGCACATGCACACATCCCTGGGGGCCTCTCCAAGGCCTTGCTCCCTGTCCAGTCCTGATCTACTGTGCTCTCAGGGCCAAGCTGGAGGGACACTTCCTCTTGGAGGAAGAGCTCATGCAGCATCGCCCAGGCCCCAGGAATGACTTCTGCCCGTCCTGCCTCAGCCGTGCCCTGGCTGGTGGTGCACATGCGTGGCTTGTCTGGCCTCCGGCCCCTGCCAACCTAGTCCCTTGGTGCTGGACTTGAACAGAGACAAACTGAGACCAGAGAGAGGGAAGGGCCCAGCCAAGATCACACCATGATAAAAACGGGAACTAGGATTCAAACTAGGATTCAGAAACAAATGACTCAGGCCCAGTCAGGGACTGGCTTCCCTTTCCTTTGAGTTTGCATCAGACCTGGAACTGGGAAAGGGAGGGGGAAAGCTGTCCCGACTGCCCCAGCCAACACCTCCAAGCAATCAAAGAGGCCTTGAACTCTGACAGGTGGCCCGCTCAAACCTGAGGAAGAGGGATGGGGCTCCCTTCTCCCCAAGTCACCAAATGAACAATTTCTGCTTTAATCAAGGGATGAGGGCACAGCATAGAATGGTGGCCTCTCTGGGTTCCAATGCATCTAGGTTCCGATGCATCAGAGAGGCCTCAGCTCTGACACTTACTTAGCTGCGTGATACTGGGCTAGGAACTTGGGTCAGTTTCCTCATCTGTAAAATGGGGGATACTAAGAGTCACTACTCTCACAGAGTTGTTGAAGGACATAACAAGATTAGGCCCATATGCACGTGCACAGGAAATGCTCCGTAAACAGGGGCCATAAGTCATTATTATCACTGGCTCAGGGTTGCTGCCCAGTGTAGACTTGGGGTCCTGCTGGGATGGGGGCACTGAACCCCGTATCACAGAGATAGAGAAAGACCCATGGCTCTGGGAAGATGAGTCCGAGACCAACTCAGGAGAGGCTTCATAGACCCCCACAGCTGGGCTTCGTAGAACCACCTGCTCCCAGGACAGGGTCCTCACCTCCTCTTCCACAGAAGCAGCCTAAGGTGTCAAGCATCCTCCAGGTGCAAAATCCGTGCCAGGTACTCCCTTCCACACCCACCACTCATCAGGCCCCATAGGGTGGGCACAGCCATCCCTTTTCCAGGGACCGAGGTCTTGCTTAAAGGGGCGCCTAGCTGGGGGTGGCCAGACCAGGTCCCCCGGCACCCACCTGGGCCCTTGCCACTTGCAATGCCAGGGTTCTAAGTGGAATTTCCTGCTGGTGGCCTCTCTTAGAAGTTTTGCCTCTTGCCTCTGCCCACTCTGCTTGGTGCCAACCACCTGGCCCTATGCTTCTGAGGGCTGCCCTAGAGGGCACCCCATCCCACCTCTGGGAGGCCCCCAATCCTAAATGCCCTGCAGCATTAAATGGGCCTGGCAGAGGCTCTCAGCAGAGTCCTTGGAGGTCCTTGGGAAGCTCTGAGTGCAAGCCTGCCACCCTACAGAGAAGGGGACACAAACCCAAAGGGGGTTTGTGGACCAGAATGGAACCCAGGTCCATTCTGGTGTTGGAGGTCCAACTGAGGACCCAGGGGGTCCAATATTGGCCCACAAGAAAGTCACTTATCCCTCCAGTCTGTTTCCTCATCTGGGGCTAACTGCAGCTCAAGGATTAGATGAACTGACATCATACCCATGATTGGCACAGGAAGGTCGTGGCACTGAAGGGCACAGGCACTGTCGGTGGCACACACAAACCACTGAGCACTGAGTGTTCTCGATGACCCCCTTCCTGGGCCAGGTGCCAGCCCCCTGGCGGTCACGCTTCCCAAACAGGCATCCCTTTGGGATTCTGGCCACACGTGGGCCAGGCCAGTCTGAAGTGATGGCCAAGACCCAGAGTTAAAAATGCCGGACAAAGGAAAGTCCTGTTCTTGCTAGCGGGTGGTGGCGGGTCTGGGCACAGGCTCTAACCTCACCCAGGCCTGGATGAAATCCTGGCCGGCTCACAAGCCACATGGCCTTAGCCAAGTCCCTGCACCTCTCTCTGCCTCAGTTTCTCCAATGGGTCATGAGGAGGGAGAAGGTTTAGTGGGTGACAAGTGCATGGTTCAACCTCTGGCTTTCAGAGCCCAGGCAACAGGAGCACTTGCTATTTACAGGAACATCAGGTCTCTCCCGCAAGGACAGCCAGTGGTGGTCTGCAGGGGACCTGCTGGAAGGCCAGGGAAGAAAGGGGATGACAGGTTTGCCGATCACGTTTTAGTCCCACCAGGGCAGATTCCCAGGGAAGCTCGACTTTCCCCACTGGGATTTTGTTTATACAGAAGTGAGGTTCAAATCCAGCCCTTGACCTAGGCAAGTGCCTCCCATCCCTTGACATCTCTGTCTCTCTATCTGCCAAGCAGGAGGAACGATGCCTGCCAATGCCCTGGGCTGCCAGGAGGACCACGGGATGGAGGACATAGTCCAGCCCAGTGATGGACTACAAGGAGGAGGGTCCTTATTCTGTTCTGTCTACTGCCAGCCCTGTTTGAGCCAGCATCTGCCCAGAGCATGGCCCAGGGCCCACCCCAGAAGGCATTCAGAGCCTCCCCAGGGGCTTCCCAGCTGAGGCTGTCAGGGAAGTCCTAGGATGCCCCTTCTTCTCCCTTGAATCTGGGGTCTCATTCGTTCTTTCAGAAAGAGGGGTTCCCTCAGTCCAGCGACACGGTGAGATTCTCAGGGGAGTCACCCTTCACCTGCCCATCAACAGACAGAACCCATCCTCTGGGGCCCTGGAAAGGCCTAAAAGGCTGGACCCCCATGGTGGGTTTCCTCTTCCTGTTGCCACAGCACCCAGTACCAGGCTGGCAGGTCCAGGAATCCCCGAATATTTTCTGGAAGAATGAATGGGCAGTGAAGGCAGCAGTGGTGCATAACTGGCTTAGATCAAAGAACATGGTGGCTGACACTGGTACAGATTCTATAAGGTGGGTGGTGTTAGCCCCATCTCACAGATGAGGAAACAGAGGCTCAGAGGCATGAATTCACTTGCCCAGTATTAGAAAGTGGTAGAGCTGTACTCAGCACAGCCTCTGGGCTCCAGAACCCATGCACCAGCCCACAGTGCTGCCTGGGGATCCGGGCAGGGCGGAGAAAGCAGCCCGTCTGAGGCCATCCAGACTAGAGCTTTCAAGCCTGGCCGCAGGCCCCGCCCCGGAGATCTGATTTAACTTGTTTGGGGTGGGTTATCTTTTTTCTTTCTTTTCTTTTTTTGAGACAGAGTCTCACTTTGTAACTCAGGCTGGAGTGCAGTGGTGTAATCTCTGATCACTGTAGCTTCGACCTCCTGGGCTCAAGCGATCCTCCCACCTCAACCCTCCAAGTAGCTGGGACTGCAAGCGCCCACCACCACACCCAGCTAATTTTTTATATTTTTTGTAGAGACAGGGTTTTGCCATGTTGCCCAGGCTGGTCTCAAACTCCTGAGCTCAAGTGCTCCTCTTGCCTCAGCCTCCCAAAGTGCTGGGATTACAGGTGTGAGCCACTGTACTGGGCTGGGCTATCTTTCAAAGCTGCCTCGGATCTCATCTGGGGCCATGGCTGAAATCCCTTGGCCAGCCTAATATCCACTCTTCAATGGGGGAAATTGGCTCAGAGAAGAGGAAGGGGACCTGCCCAAGGTCACCTCTGGTGTTGGGGGAGCCTGGGCCCTAGAGCCCGGTCCCCTGACTACTCCATCCTACGTTTTGAACTCTTATAAACAGAGCAGAGCACCATCACCTGGTGGAGCAGCCCAGGGGGCCCAGATGGCGGCGGGCGAGATGAGGCAGACAGGCGGGAGGAGCCAGCACAGCACGCAGCCAGATGACACACAGGCCCAGCAATTCCTGACTCATGGCCACCCAGCCCGTGACTCCACCCACCGCCAATGCCCCCACCCTGGCTCACATCCCGCAGCCCACTGCAGCCTCCAGAGTCCACTCCCATTCAGAGCTAGAAAGCCATGGAGGGAGGGAGAGGCAGTGGGGCCCACCCGGGCCTGAGTGGCAAACCCAGACAACCCCACGCCGGTGGGACTCAGGGGCACCAGAGGAAGAAGGAGGGGTGGTGGTGCCACCCTCAGTGCTGGCTCTGAGCAGCGCCTCTCCAGCCTTGCGGACAGGCACCCAGCTACAGGAGGAAAACTGAGGCCTCCCAAGCCCAGCTGGTGCTGACACCCACTTGGGCTAACTTTCTTTGCCCCATGACCCCTCTTGAATCAGGGCTCCAACACCGGATGAGTGTGCCAGGCTTCTCTGCTGCCGGTTCCTCTCCCCATGAACTCACTACTCCTCTAAGAACTTTCAGTGGCTCCCCACTGCCTACGAAATCTAGTCCTAATCCTGACCTGTAATGTTTCCCTCACAGGGAAAAGGCTGATTCAAAGGGAAGGGCCGCAGGGGGCCCAGCACTGTGTCCCCAAATCTTAAGGACTTCTCACAGCACCCTAAGACACTGGCTCTGAAAGGTCCACTTGCCAGATGCAGACACTGAGGCTCAGAGCAGCAATGTGTCCAAGGCCACCAGAGTCTGAGCTGTGGCCACCCCATGGCAGGGGCTTGGCTGCTCAGGTGCCTGGTCTTCCCTGCTGCTGACAAGCTTTCAGCTCGCCCAGGAGCTCAAGGTGGCCCCCGGATCTGTCTTAACCCATCCAATGTCACAACGACTCTGGTCTTTCCCCGTGGTGCCCTGACCCCTCTGCTTGGCCCCCTTTAAGACACAGTTGATTCCCTAAGCTGCTACCCCTGCTGATACTGAGGTGGGCTTGGGCTTACTTGGGGAGGTGGGTCATGGGTCAGAGAGCACCCACCAGGAGGGAGGAAGAGGATGGGGTTGGGAGGGTGGTGGGACAGCCTGCCCCTCAGCACAGCCCCATCCCTGCTTCTGGCCCAGCTCCCTGAGCAGAGCTGAGAGACGGAGGCATGCTCCGTCGCCCGGCTTCTGGGAGATGAGAGAAGGGGCTCCTTTCCAGGCAGACAGGGGTGGATGGGGAGGTTTTGTGTTATCACCCCCCAAGCCTGGCTGTCTTCACAGGGCACACATTCAACCCACCCCAAACCCTTTATCCCATGGGATGCTCATTGCTGGGCAGAGCGTCTGCCTCTCCCTGTTTTTCTACAGATGAGACCCAGAGTGGCTGAGTGACTTGCCCAGGTGCACCAGCAGGTTGGTGGAGGATCCCAGACCAAGAGCCCCAGCCTCCTGGCTCCCAGGCCTAGTCCCACTGTGAGGTTTCTCCTGCTAGGTCCCCAAGGGTCACAGGCTTTGTCTGAGAGGAGATAAGTCATTAGCATGTGTGGGGGGTGCAGGACGGGCGTGGGCCCAGAGCTGCCACCACGGGGAGGCCCAGGGAGGGGGTCAGCGCAGGCCAGAGGCAGGGCGGCCCGAGGTCGGGCTTCCTTTCTCAAGAGGGCAGGATTCCTGGCAGCAGCTCTCATGGGAAATAGGAGAAGTGCCAGCCGTAGAGAATACGGGGTGGGGCAAAGGTGGTGTCTGGGCAGGGCTTCCTGTTGGGTGGGCGGGTGGCCACTCGCCGAGGCCTAGTGACCTGCACGGCTGCGGCCCGGGGCCAGGCCAGGGTTGGGTTTCGCCTCATCCCTGGCTCAGGCCCAGGCCACCCTGAGCCCCATCCTCCAGCCCCGCCCTGGCTTCCTGTCCCACTGGCCCCACCCAGCCCAGGGGAGAGGGAGGGCCGAGCAAGCCTCCTCAGAAGCACCAATGCTTTCTGGGGGCTGGAGTGGGCAGGCCACGCTGGCCTGCTTAGTGGCCTTTGGCCTCTTACCTCTAGGCCTCCCACCGTTCATTTTCCAGTGTGAGGCCTCGACAAAAGTGCTGCTGGGTTTTCTTCCCAGGAGGGCACACTTCAGACACAGCTGAGCGGGGGCCCCTGATTGAATCCCTGCCTTTCCAAGTCAGCAGACAGCAGTGTCCCCTGGGAGAAGTCATGCCCAAGAGACCAGGATGAGAGGAAGAGTGAACCAAGGCCAAGTTCAGGCTTCGAATGCAGAACTTCCTGGAGGGCGAGCTCTTGCAGAAGGCGTGCCACCCCACGGGGCCACGCAGCCCCACATGAGGACAACGTGATGTCAACCACAGGCACAGCGCCTAGAGAAAGACCCCTTCACCCCACCCTGACTTGGCATGCCTGAACCCCTGAAGTGTCTGGAGGAGTCTGGGTGGGAGGGGAGCTTGGCCCAGGGGCTGCAAGGCTACCCATGGCCTCCAGGTGAATCCAGCCCATTCCCTGTGGCCTCAGGAACTGGAGGCTCACCTGTCCACAGGTTGGGGGTATGGTGGGAGTGCAGAGGTTGGCAGCCCGACCCAGTGAGGGCAGAGATCTGAACAGAGGCCCTCAGCCCTCTCCAGTCCCCTCTCCTGCCCATTCATGCTCTCCCAGGGCAGAGGGACTCAGAAAGCAAATAGGCCAGAGAGCAAGGAGGACTCTTCCAGCTGGCCGACAGCCCACCAGGGACAAAAGCCTCTTGGCTTAGTGCTGGGGATGAACACAGATGGGAGGGGGTGTGGGCCTGCCTGGGGCCCAGCCTTGCTCGAGATTACCCCAGGGACAGGGACAGAGATAGGGACAGAGCAGGGATCCAGGTCTCCTGCCTGTACCAAAGGCAGCCCAAGGGCCTCCTCATGAAGGCAAACTCACAGCAGTCCCTCCTGGCTCCGGGAGCTCCTGAGTGGTGAGAAGGTGGGTCAGCCCAGCTTAGGCAGGAACTGACTTTAGCCACACCCTGGCTGCCAGCGCAGGCCACTGATGACTTGTCCAGATTACCCCAATCAAACAGGCCCTGGCGGGGCCACGTACAGACCCAGCTTGATGCTCTGCCTGCAGGGAGGAAAGCCCGGGAGGGACTCAATTGGAAACTGCCAAGGGCCTAAAGTCTGTGGCCCTAAGACAAGCAGGGTGGAAGACAGAAGTCAGCGTCAGCCTGGTGGGAGGCCAGGACCCCATGTCCCAGGAGGAACTACAAGACGGCAGTAGTAAGCCTCGTGACCCCAGAGATATGCAAGCTGAGGCTGGGGACATACAGGCCTAGGCAGCATTCTGGGATGCTGACCCAGCAGCTTTATTAAAAACCCCGGCCCAGAATCCACATTCAGTTGTAGGTGGCATGATGGCGGATCTGCGTCACCCTCAGCCCTGGCCACCCAGCTCCACCCCTTTTCCGGACAGGCGTTTCCTAGAACAGCCTGAGCACACGAGCCTGTGGGACTCTTCCAGATTGAATACCCTAGACCTCATCACAACAGAGACAAGGTCTGATGATGCTCTGTGTGGCCTTGATGCTGGCTCTCTACACCCCCTTGTCTCAGGCACCTGGTGGGCTCTGCCGTTGGCCTATCCTGGGGAAGTACGCCTAAGCTTCCTCAGAACCCAGGGGAGCCTGTGGGGTCAGCCATGCCCTGCCTCCTAGCCAAGAGCCAGCTCTCTCCTAGGCCTTACCTGGGCCTGGCCCTGGGCCCACCCTGGAATGTTGCTGGATTCCAGTTCGGCCGTGATCATGCAGGGTGAGGGATGTATCTTTTGTGGAGCGTGGGCCCCATACAGACTTGGCTGCCAGGAAATGTTTGTCAAAGGAAGGAAAGAGGGAAGAAGCAGGGAGGAGGTGGACAAACAGACACATGAATGCAGGTGGGCTCTCAGAAGCATGGCCCCAAAAAGCCACCACAGCCCTCCTCCTCCAGGCCCCCAGAGATGGTGTCATCTATGCAAGACACAGTATGCAGGCTGACAAACCTCGATGAAGGCCTGGGGAGGCCCCACTCTGCAGCTGCCACTTCCCCTGGTGCTCTGCTCCCCATGTGGGCTAGGAGAAGGCCCCCAGGTGTCCGAGCCCAGGGCCTCTGTGTTCTGCCCACATGCACACATTTGCTTTGGAAGCCCAGGGTCTGGCTCACACCTCCCTAGAGGAAGGGGACACTCTCCCTGGCTAGAAACACCTGCTTGGTCCATGAGAGGCTCGGCGGTGCCTCTCACTGCTCTTCCTGAGCCCTGCAACAATGTAGGGGTTGCATCCTCCTGGAATGGCAGTGGGGTGGGAAATGGCCAGCTCATGACAAGATCACAGGGGTTTTGCAATGAAAGGTGATGCTGCCCATCCAATGGGAAGAAAATATGTCACAGAGGCGAGGGTTTGACGAAGTTTCCAGAAGGTCTGTGTTCTGACAACCCCTATCCCTGCCTAGCCCAGGTCCTGGCACACAGTAGGTGCTAATAATTCAGTGGCCTGATGGATGCACACGGGAGGCCTGGCTTCCACACTCCTGCCACGGAGGCCAGGGCTCTAAAGCACACTCCAGGGGCCATACACATGGTGGTTGTGCCCATGTGTGTCCCTTTCTCTGGTGAGGACTCTGTCTTTCTCGGCTCCCCCTGGTCAGAAGGTGCCCACCCTCTCTATTTAGGGCTGAGAGAGTTCTCTGTTATCAAGCTCTGTGCCTTTTCTTGACAGATGGGTTGGGGCAGGGAGGTCAGTCGTCCAGGGAGGGCAGAGGATCAGAACAAGGCCATTCCCCAGCCCAGGCCTCCCCATACCAGATTCTGAGGCCCAAGAGCTCTAGGACCCAGCTCGGGGCTCCCTGATGCCCATGGCGATCCTCGCTGCCACCACCCACACCAATGTGGCCCTTCTCCCTGGCTCTGTGTCACGGCCTCCTGGCTGCAGCTGGCCTGAACTGCTTACTTGGACAAATAGCGAGAGAAACCAGCCACGTGATGGCTAAGGTTTCCTTGGCCAGGGACAGGGATATACACACACACACACACACACACACACACGTACACTACACACACGCACAGCCACTTGTGGGTCAGGTAGTCATGTGGCCCAGGCTTCTGTGTCTCTGAAGGACAAGTGACCGGCTGCCCTTCTTCACCCAGAAGAATGCCCTCCCCAAGCACTTGTTTTCTGCTTCCTGGATGTGCCAGGGGTTTGCTGGGTGGGAAGCCCAGCAGAGTCGGGGCGGAAGCGGGAGCAGAGGGAGGGGGCAGAGCACCCGCCCAGCCCCAGCCCTGCCTGTGTCTGGTGTTTTCCTTCCGCCCTCCCCACCCAGAGGGCAGATGTCTGCTGGGAAACTGTGGCCACCCAGCCGTTCCCTGACTACAGGGACAATCCCCAAACTCAGGGAGAATCCCAAAGCCCAACGTTGGGGCCACACAGGAGGGGAGCCAAGGCTCAGAGAGAAGTCCCTGTGATAAATGGCAGAGCTGCCAACATGCTGCACCTGGACCAGTGGTTTTGTAGCTGGAGTCCATGGTATATTATAGCCTTTGGGGCATCTAGGGGGTGAGGGAGGGTAGAAGAAGGGGGTGTCTAGTCCAACTCAGCAGGAGCGGCTCTGCCTTTGGTCTGTTGCTTGGGAAAGGTCTGCGGGCCAGAGTCTTGAGCACTTTTCCAGCATTGGGGATCTGTGTCTCCGCTACTACCCCAGGGTGGCAGGCTTGTCCTCACAGCCTGAGATGGGCCCACTAAGACAGAAGGACGCCACATCTCTTGACAGGCAGAGCGGAGACCCTGCTCTAGGGGAGGAAGGCTGAGGGGTGGAGAGTGGGGAGCGGGAAATGCCAGCTCTATGGGGGTCTGCAGCCAGCTCCCACCCTTCCCTGGCCTCAGGCCTGACCCCCAGGACTCCAGAAACTCACTGCAGATGCATCTCAGGAAGGCCGCAAAAAATGAAAGGCATGGCCAAGAGTTCCCAAATAAAAGCTAATTCCTGGGCTGGGTGTGGCAGCTCACATCTATAATCCCAGCACATTGAGAGGCTGGGATGGGAGGACTGCTTGAGCCCAGGAGTTTGAGACCAGCCTGGGCAACATAGTGAGACCTTGTCTCTAATAAAAATTTTAAAAATTAGCCAGGCATGCTGGAATGCATCTATAGTCCCAGGTATTCAGAAGGCTGAGGTGGGAGGGTCAGTTGAGCCTGGGAGGTCAAGGCTGCAGTGAGCCACTGCACTCCACCCTGGGTGACAAAGCAAGACCTTGTCTCTTAAGAAAGTAAAAAGGCTAATTCTGGCCAAGCCCCTCCCTCCGCTAAAGCCCTTCACATAGGTTATCTCACTGACTTCTCACAATAACTCCATGACTCTGTGTTCTTCACCAATCCCCCACCCCACTGTCTCAGGGCTGCAGAATGAAGCCTCGGGAAGGGCTTTACTGTGGAGGCAGGTAAAATTATCACCCCATTTTATGGATGCAGCACAGAAATCAATGTGAACTAACCGGAAGGTCACACAGTTAACAAGGGGTGGGGTGGGATTTGAACCCGGAGACCCCAACCCTAGACTCTGTGTTCTTCACCAATCCCCCACCCCAACAACTCAGGGCTGCACAGGGCTCCTCTGGTGGCCCCAGCCCCCAGCCCAGCACACCTCGCAGGCACTCCGGAATGCAGCTTCGGGAAAGGCTCTACTGTGGAGGAGGAGGGAGAGAAGACCTCAGGAGAGGAGGAGCACTGGGATGGAAATGTGAGCAGAGGAGGCAGGAGAGAGTCTTGTCAGTGGAGAAAGACACAGAAAGGGAGGAAGAGTGAGAGGCAAGGCCATGAGCGGAATAGAGAGAAGAAAGGAAGATACAGAAAGAAGATACAGAGAAGGAAGACACAGACAGAGGGGGAGGGGGAAAGAGGGCAGGAAGGAGGGAGGAGGGGAGACAGAGAAGAAGAAAACAGAAGGGGAAGAAGGTGCAGCTGGGCAAGAGGAAGAAAGAAGGAAGGTGGAGGGCAGGAGATAGATGGAGGGATGGCGAGGAGGTGGGAAATGAGCCACCAAGAAGCCGAAGTGGATGAAGAAGCCAGGAGCCACGGAGACAGACACACAGCAGAGAGGAGGTCAGGGCCTTGGAAAACTGAGAGGCAGACGGAAAGCAAGCCCGCCCACCGAACATTGAATACCTAACAGGAGATGACAAATCAAATGGGAATTACTGCGGTAAAAACATAATTAGAAACTTGATTGAAGTTAAACAGAATTTACATAACACTGCAAATTAACTTTACACGGAAACTATTCACTGGGAAGGCAATGAAAAGGCATTTCATTAGTAATCTATATTTAAACAATAGGCACAATGGAGCCTTCTGATGAGGAACTTGGTGCCTTCCACCGGAGCCGGTGCCAAAGACTGCAGGAAGACCAAGCACAGTGGGTGCTCCAGGCAGAAATGGGCAGGGACCAGGGGGATCCCTGTGCCTGCTTGTGGGGTGGGGTGGGGACACAAACAGGCCAGGTGAGCTTCTGGTGCCAGTGCTGTCCTTGACTTGCTGCGTGGCCCTAGGCAAGTGTCTTACCTTCTCTGGGCCTCGGTTTCCTCACCTGCAAAATGGGGCCAGTGGGGAGGCAGTCTATAAGCCTGGATAGTCTAAGACAGTCTGGGAGATAGTAGAGGATTATAAGAGCATGGGTTCTGGAGTCAGACGGATGCAGTTCCTGCCCCTTGTGAGCTATGGCATCATGCAAGAATTTTCCTCTCTAACCCTGTTTTACCCATCAGTTCAATGGAGGTAAGTCCAGTCCAGTCCCGCCTGATGTCACCAAAGCAGTACAAGGATTTAGGGAGAGAATGGATAGGGACAGGCTTAAAGAAAAGTGAGTCTAAAGGCACGGGATTACTCGTCCCCTCCGCCGGGCACACTAATGAGATTACCCGAAGCCTCCTGCCACCGCTCTGCCACGGAGCCATGCATCATCAGAGCAGCTGCTGCTGCTGCCCTAGTCCCCGATGCAGAGTTGGAGGGGCATCTCCCCCTGACTTTCCCGAGGGAGAGGAGGTCCACAAGTCCCTGCCTGGCTCCATTCAATTCTCAGCCTGGAAAAGTCTCCTGAGCCTCCTCTCACGTCCTGGCCATGTCAGACCGCACTCACTCTGCAGACGGGCTGGACTGTGCTCCCGAGTCTCCTTCGCCTGGACACACTCTTCTCTCCACCCCCACCCCCCAGCCCCTATCACACCTTGCACACCTGCCCGGCCTCTGGCCTTGTTCAGGGCAGCTATACTGTGTGCAGCCGTTCCTGACCAAGTCAAGGCCGTTCTCTCTGCTGGGCACCTGCAGTGCTCACTGTTATGCTGGAAGGTGTGGGTTCTTTACCTGTCCCCCCACCACCCCATCTGGACTGCCAGTTCTCAGCGCAGAAACCCTCCACTGTCATCTCTGCACACCCTGACTCGAGCCCTGCATTTGGCACAACACAGGTGCTTAGGAAACACTGGTTGACCTCAGAGTGGTCAAGGGAGGCTTTCTGGAGAAGGTGGGACTAGAGCTGCACGCTGAAGGGGAAGAGCATCTGACAAGACCCACAACTCTGCTGTGGAGAGAGGGGTGAGTGGGCCCGGGGTCAAACCTCAGCCAGAGCAGAGGGATAGCTCAGAAGCTCCTGGGTCTGTTTCCAGAGTCTCGGGGAGCCCTCTCCTGTGAACTGCAGTACAGGGCAGCTGCAGCACCCCAAGACATACTACTGGTGGGTGGCAAAGCTGGAATTCTAAGTCAGGCTCAGGCTCCTGAGCACCAAAAAGGTACACTCAGGAGCCAAGGGAGAGATGGAGCGGTGGGGAGCTCCTGGAAGGTCAGGAGCACACTTGTTCCTCGGGATCCTACCCAGCCCGGGGCCTGGCCTGGAGGGGGCACTGCTGATGTTTGCAGTAGAGGCTGAGAAAGAGAGAGACAGAGATGGAGAAAGAATGAAGTGACACAACACTGACACGCACGTATATGATTGCCCACCAAAGGCAGAGAGCTCCCCTAACTGGGAGCAGGTGCTCTGACACTCACTCGCGGCCTGGGAAGGTTCACATCTTTTAGGATAAAGGATCCACACCATGCTCAGGTGCTCAATAGGGAGCTGCTCGGTGCCTCTTCCCCATGGGCAGCATGTGACCTGCCACCTGGAGCCCTGCGTTTTTGGACAAGGGGGAGGAGCCCCAGAAAGCAGGAGGGAGGTCCATAGTGCTAGCTGAAGAAAGTGGGAAAGTGGACAGACATCAGGGCAAGATGCTTGGCCAGGGTCAGGGAGTGCCGGCCAGGGTGACGGGGAGGGCCCAGGCATGCGCTTGCCCACAGCCCCTAGCCCCTGTGTGGCCAAGTGTGGGCAGGAAGGCGGTGTGGTCTCTCCTGTCTCTCCATTAGTCCTCTCCAAATATGGCTGGTTTATTGAGGCCTCTGAGCCTTTGTGTAGGCTGTTCCCACTGCAGCATACAGAGTCCTTTCCATGCACTGCCCAGCAGAGTCTTGCTTGTCCACTCAGAGCCTGCTTTCTGTTCCCCTCCCTGGCTGCACCTTCTCCAGCTCCTCTGCAGACCCCTTATCCACTCACTCCCCTAAACGGCTGGGTGCCCCGTGACTCACATTCAGGCTCCTGACCCTCTCAAGCGCCACACACTCTCGAGTGATCTCATCTGCCTCACGACTTGCAACACCATCAATCCACGACAACTCCCAAATTTATATCTCTAGTCTGGGACCTCTCTCTGCCTTCCCGACTCATATTTCCAGCTGCCCCCTCAATCTTTCCACTTGAACGTCTCAAAGGCATCTCAAACTCAATGTGTCTGAAACAGAACTCCTCAGCTTCACGCAGCCCTCCCCGGCCATTGTCCCTGGCTGAGCAAATAACCACCTCCCTTCTACCACTGGCTCCTGTCCCAAACCCAAGGGCCTTCCCTGACTGTCTCCGTCTTTTTAAATCCTCCACCTCTAATTCACTAGCGAGCCTGCCTGCTGGGTCTCTGAAATATATTCAGCCTTTGATGGCTTCCCACCTCTTCCTCCACTACCCCTTCGTCCCTGTTCCCATCACCTCTACCTGGATGTGGGCAACAGCTTCCCAGCTATCTCTCTGCTCCACACTTGTCCGCCTACAGGAGTGGGTCCTCCATGATCTCTCTGACTTCGCCCCCTATCCTGACATCCTCCCAGCCACACTGGATTATTTGCATTTCTTTGAACAGGTCAAGTACATCCCTGCAGACTCCCTGGCTGCATTCAGCTATCTTAAATGGCCAACTTAACAGAAGCCTTTCTTGGGTCAGGCAGAGTGGCTCACACCTGTAATCCCAGAACTTTGGGAGGCTGAGGCAGGTGGATCACTTAAGTCCAGGAGTTCGAGACCAGCCTGGGCAACATGGGAAAACCCCATCTCTACTAAAAGTACACTAATTAGCCAGGCATGATGGTGTGTGCCTGTAGTCCCAGCTACTCAGGGGGCTGAGGTGGGAGAATCACTTCAGCTGGGGAGGTCGAGGTTACAGTGACAGAGTGAGACCCTGTCTCAAAAAAAAAAGCTTTCCTTGGCTAGTGAAAGAGTACTTTACACTGTAGACTCTGTGCTCCTACCTGGCTAAATTTGTCTTCTTAAAACTTAGCGTCACCTGACCTATTCACTTTTTAGGTATTTATCATCCATGCCTCCTCACGAGAGTACAAGCGCCGTAAGGGCAGGGAGTTTTGTCTGCTTTATTCCCTGCTATATCTCTGAACTTAAAGAGTTCCTGACAGACTTTCTCGGTCAACACCTGGGGAATGAATGCATGAGCAATGCCGCCTCCTCCTCCCCGAATGTCTGCCTGCAGAATCAGCCACGTCCCCTCTCCCTCGTCCCCTGTGTCGTCATGGTCACCACACAGGCTTTGAGCACTGCCTTATGGAACTCAGTCTGGCTCTGGGATCTGAGTCGTACTCCATTGCACACCACACCCTCTCAGGGCAGGGCTAAATTGGCTCTGTCTTCAAAACCCACCCCCGGACAACGAAGTGAGACCCCGTCTCCACAAAAATTTAAAAATCAGCTGGGCGTGGCGGTGCATGCCTGTAGTCCCAGCTACACGGGAGGCTGAGGTGGGAGAATCGCTTCAGCCTGGGAGGTCGAGGCTGCAGTGAATCATGTTCGTGTCACTGCACTCCAACCTGGGTGACAGAATGAGACCCTGCCTCAAAAAAACAAAAACAAAAACAAAAACCCCAGCCCTTAATGCGGGCCTGGCCTGGTGTGAGAGTCCATGAATATTTGATGAGTGAATTAAAGAGTAAATAGATGGGTGGATGGGGGGAATGGGTGGGTAAGTAGTTGGATGGAAGGACGGATAGGTGGTGGAGGGATGAATGGGTGGATGAGTGTGGAAGGACTAAAAGAAAGAGGGATGGATGGAGAGATGGACAGGTAAGTGGATGGATGATGGATGGATGGAGGGATGGGTCTCACAGGCACACAATACAGACTAGTGGTTGCTTGGCCTCAAAAGCAGAACTTCTCTTGAGAGGATGAGTGCAGTACGGTCGAAGTAAAAGCATAGAAGCTGGTATGGCAAATAGGATGAAGCCAAGCTGCTGTGGCGTGGCCAGAGCTAGCTGTGTGATCCCTGGCAGGCACCATTAACTTCCCTGTGCCTTGTTCTCGTGGTCTGAAAATGCAGATAATAATTCTTGCCCAGAGCTGACAGGGAGAACTTTGGAATTTTGAATGCTGCCACAAAGGAGACCACAGCCACATCCCCAGTGAAGCACATCTCCAGCCAGGTCTGCTTTGGAAAATCCTCCCTTCTCAAGCCCCACATGGCACTGTGGACCTCGTAGCCTTAGAATCCAGCATCCACAAAGGCTGGGACCCCTGGCTACAGCCCTAGAGTTCCAACTGAGCCAGGCTGCTAAGATGGCTCAACCAAATCAGACACAACTGACTCACAGAATCCTTGAGAACTGAGGTAAGTACAGGACCTGAGCCCAGTGCCCCATTTTGGAGACAGACAAACTGACACCCAGAAGCCTTTTCTGGCAGTATGAGCACCACACAAGGAGTTATAGAGAGGCCCTGCAGCCAGGCCCAGGAAAGGCTGTGAGAAGCAGCTGAAAACCCTCAGCTCTGGTCCAGCCACAGCACTTCTGGGCTGCTAGGGCTTGCCCCTGCCCAGGCTTAGGCAAAGGTGATGGTATGGCCTGGGCATCGGGGGCTGGTGTTACCTTTCGGGGTATGGCAGCTCAGTGAAAAACAGCGGCTCCTCTCCTCACACCCCTTGCAGCATTGGTCCGACGCCAACGGGCCTCCTCCTCTTCCTCCTGGGTACACAGGGGAGAGATGAGACGTGTGTGAGAGCAGGCCGGTGTGCCGTCCACTCCCCTCCCACCTCTGTCCCTGCCGCCAAGCTAATCTCAGCGGCCTCTTGGGTCACTTAAGCACACCCCGGGATGCCTGATTTATCAGAGCTGGCTGTGTCTTCCCCGCCCAGCCACACTCCAACCAGCAAGCCAATTCCTCCTAGTGGGATTTTGAAAAATATATAAATATAAGTTTTGTTTCTTCCAGGACTGGGGACTTTGTGTTGTCTTTCTCTTCTTAGTAGGAAAAGCAGAACAGCATCACTTTCCTGTACGGCCCCCAGGCAGGGTGACAGGGAGAAGCTGTCGGGGGTATTTTTAGCCGGGTGTACAAAGCCCTTGCCGTGGCCTCCTCTCTGCGCCGTGCCTGGCTTCGGGGAATTATCTCACACGGCCGGCCGGCAGCCACTTCCAAAGCCACTCTGTGACCCCTGCCTGAATTCTTTCCTCATTATGAATTGCTCACCAGATCCCTGACCAACACTCGGAGCCATTTTATGTGTGTACGCACCTCGGGAAAACCAGCTCACTCCCTTGCCCCTCCTACAAGGTTCAGGGCTGGCTGTTTTGCTTATAACTGGGAGAGGAGGCCCAGATGCAGAGTTTAAAGCAGAAAAGAGTCCTGGTGATGAGTTAGATTGTGCTCCCCAAACTTCAGCTCTTCCTCCACGCTCTTTAGGATTCTTGGTCTGAGCTGAGATCTACCTGTGTGATGACTTAATTTAATGTTCACCTTCCACTCACTTTTTTTTTAAGCTCCAATAAATCTGGCCTTGTCCAAAGCAATCATGCCCTTGAAATAATTGATTTGATAGGCTAGTTATATATTTCTGATACTCTTTAATAAATTGTAACTAGTAAAACAAAAATGTATGTCCTGTTGGGTACTATCTAATTCTAGAATCTTGCTGTAGACTACCAGATTTACCTGGGCCAAGCTTTGGCAAACGTTGTGCAGAAGAAGAGGGAGAGGCATGGAGGAGGGGCGGGCTGGCTGATGGGGCCCAAGAACTGGTCATTGTATCAGGCCAAGGGATGTAAGGGGTCAGAGCCATGGTGTGCTGCAGCCTTTAGTACTGTCTCTCTTTCTAGCACTGGGCAAGACCATTTTTGGCCCCACACTTGAACTAGGCTGGGAGGATCTAGGTGGGATGGGCACGAAGCATCTTGGGGACGGGGTGTCCCAAAGGAGGGCCAGCCCAAGGCCCAGGGCCCAAAATGGCGTCTTTCCCAGCATTCTCTGAGGCCTCTGGTTCACTCTGCCCCTCCGGTCAGGCTCCTTTTGGCTGGAGTGGGTCCACAGAGGCCAGAAGGCGAATCCCCTTTCTAGGTAGATCTGGAGGCGCAGAACATTCCCCTGAGCCCTACAACCTATGCTCTTGGCGCTCTGACCCTGTGGGCTCCTGGGGGCCTTGCACTGCCTCTGGGCCTCTGCCTCCCTGTGTGTGCTTTGAGAGGAGGCTGGCAATGGTGGGCACCCCGCAGCACTGGGGCCTCACTGCTGCTCTCTGTCCTTTCCCACTCTGCCCACAGGTTGGAGACCCTGGCTGGGCCCCTGGCCCAGTGCCCGCCGCCTGCCCCTCCCGCTGAGAACAGGATGTGGGTGTCAGGAGGTGAAGGAGAGTGTGGGGGTCGGGATGGGGAGTGGCCTCGGGACGGGACTTCCTGAAGCCAGATCGGTTTACCACAGTCAGTTGGGCCCAGGACCGCACAGCTGTGAGTTATAAATGTCCCTGTCAGAGCCCGGGCCGAGAGGCCCTGCTGCTGGCAGAGGCGCCAGGGCCCACAGCGCCCACCCTAGGAGCACCCCCCCCCCAGCCGAGGGCCCGTCCTCTCAGAGGTCCTCCCCCAGGGTCCAGCCCTCACGACCTCTGGGCTCTCCTGCCTCCTCTCGGAGAGAGATGGGTCTAGTACAGCCTTCCCCTGCTCACCCCTAGCCCTTCCAGGTGCAAATCTTGTGGTCCCAGTTACCGGGAGAGCTCCCAGAGGGCAAGGACCATTCTGGGTCTGCACCCGGCAGGAACCTGAAGCTTGGTGCACAGCCAGCCACTCAACGACCACTGTAGGGGTGACTGTTCCAACTCAGCAGCCTGCTTCCCACGGCCCCACCCGCCCCTGCCTGTCCACCAGGGCACATACCGAGGGGGAGTGGGAAGGGAGAGGGGCCTGGCCTGCCACACCTAGTCCGGGTGAGTAGGAGCAGCAGGGCTGGCCACTAAGCCTCTGGGCACAGGGCTCTGTGTCCTGCATATGCAGAGAAGACTCCTTCAGAGACCTTCCCTGAGGTACCCATTTTCCTTTGTCTGCTCCCTCAGAGCTCCCTCCATCTGGGGTGTGAAGTGTAGACTACAGCTCAGAGGCCAGCCTGCACATAACACCGCTGTCCATAGGGTGAGAAGACAGGTCCCTGGGACCCCAAGGCTGGGCCATCCTGTCAGGACCACCAAAGTGGGCAGCACAGGGCTGGGCCACAGAAATACAATCACAATAACAGAAACAATCAGGAACAGCTCAGGTTGCAGGGCCTGAGGCTTATACAATTTTGGAGGCCCTGTTTTAAAAATTATTTAACATTACAAATATATATTTAGAATCAGAAAAGAAATCACAACAAATTCCTATATTCTTAGGAATCCATGCCCCTTTCTCATGAGGCCCCTGTTTAACAGTTTACCAGAAATACTTACATAGAAATGTTCCTGTTTGCAAACTGCTGCCCCTCCCACCTAGAACACTCTATAGCTCCCAGCAATTCCCAGCCTTCACCAGGGCTGTGCCCAGGAGAGGCCAGGATGCCTAATCTTCATGTGCTTCCCTGTAAGCCTCCCTCTAATCATAATAAGAGTGATGAAATGGATAGTGATATTTAACCTTTAGCTGTACTGTTCTAAGCACTTTATGTAAATTAATCCACTTAATCTTACCACAACCTATGAGGTCAGTACTATAACCAATTTTTAAAGATGAGGAAACAGAAGGTTAAGAAACCAGTCCAAGGTCACACAACCAAGATGTGAACCCAGACAGCCTGGCAGGGATGCCATTGCCAGCCCTTCACCACTTCTCTCCACCTCCCTCAAGTGACCAGAAGGGTCTCCTTCCCTGAGAGGCTTCAACAGCAGCAGCAACCTAGGGCTGACTCTGAGTAGGCCCCCTTCTGATGAAATAATTCATTCATTCCACACAGATGCACTGAGCACCCAGCACACCCCAAGATCTCGGCAGGAAACAGGGGCCTCCTGTTTACCTCACCCTGCCCAAGGCAGGGCTGGGGTCCTTGCCACAGACAGAAGTGGGCACCATCTTGACTTCCTGGGACAGGCTGGGGGGTCCTAGAGACGAGCTGGGCCTGCCCCAAGGAGACCCTGGAGGGTGGGGAGAGGGGGAAGGTTTGCCAAAAGTCACATGGCCTGTTGTCCAATTCTCTCATTTTACAGATAAGAAAAGGTGGCCTGGAGACGAGTGACTTCCTGAGGGTCCCCTGAGAGTGGTGACCTACATGAGTTCTGAGACTATCCTTCTGGAGGGGTGGGGCAGATCCTGGAGGACTGGGGTGGCCAAGGCCAGGCCTGGGGGAGGAGGCAGGTGCCTTTTGGCCCCCTAGGAGCAGTGCCTTTGTTTTCTCTCTTTGTTTTCCATCTGCCCTCAGCCCCAGCGGCCTTCCCAGCTTCCCCTGATTGTGTACAGGGCGATAAAGGGGCTGATGAGAGGGAGATCTCTGGCGGCACAGACACAGCGGCGGCGGGTGGGTGGGTGGCCGAGAGGGCCCCTGGAACTGGGCTCACTGCCGGCTGTACTGAGTCTTCCTTTGAGGGACACTTTGCACATGACCCTCAGAACCCTTTCAGCACAACTGTCCCCATCTTATAGAGGAGGAGACTGACGCTTTGGGAAGCAGCAGCCAGGCCTGGAACCCTGGCCCTTGGACCCCAAAGCCTTGGGGATCTCCAATGGGCCAATGGGCCACGCTGACCCTGACCCTTAGCTCTCTGGCCACCCAGACAACACCTGGCCTTGTCAAAGCTGTTATCCCTTTAACTCGAGAACTGGGCATTTTCAGATTGGCCAGGAAGAAAGAGAACAGGGGCCAGTCAGTGTCTCACCTATCAATGCCAGGGGAAACAGGTGCACCGCATGTCCATGTGAAGTGACACACTCGCAACTGGTGGCTTGGTGGGAAATGGGGTAATGTCCAACCTCCTGGCCTCCCCCAACAGAGTCCCAGTGAAACTACCTTTAGGAGGACAAATGACTGCTCTCTTGTGGGCTAATTCTGACCAACTGCAGGGCTGGGGAGAGAAGGGCACAATCTGAGGGCACCATCTGCCCAGTCATGGGATGGGGCAGTGGTGGCTGCAGACCTGGCCCACCTTGCCCCAGGTCACTGCTGACCCTGACCTCAACTGCCTGGCCTCCTGACCTGGTCTTCTCAGACCCTCCTCAAGTTATCAAATAACCCACCTTATTAGGTACTGTAAGCCGTGTCCATATTCCATCTTAATTCTTTATGTACTTAAAAATGTATCAACCAGGTGCAGTGGATCATGCCTGTAATCCTAGCACTTTGGAGGCGGAGGCGGGCAGATCACCTGAGGTCAGGAGTTCGAGACCAGCCTGACCAACCTGGTGAAACCACTTCTCTATTAAAAATACAAAATTAGCTGGGTGTGGTGGCGCATGCCTGTAATCCCAGCTACTCGGGAGGCTGAGACAGGAGAATCACTTGAACCCGGGAGGCAGAGGTTGCAGTGAGCCAAGATAGCACCAGCCTGGGCAACAAGAGCGAAACTCCATCTCAAAAAAAAAAACTATTTAATTATTTATATCACTTTAAACCAATTACTTTTTTTTTTACTTAGCCTCATCAAAAGCACTATGATCTGTGAAATCATGGGTTTGATGTATTAATTATATTTTTTTCCTTAGTTACATGAACATACATACATAGTGTTAAAATTTGACACCCTCACATGTGTCCGGATAGCCCACAGGGTGCAAGGCCAGTCCTGGGGAAGTCTCAATCCAGGTTGGGAGAAAGCCTAGCTAAGTGCAGTCAGGGTGCCGTGGGGCAAAGCCCAGGGCTGCCCAGGGAAGTAGAAGGAGGTGGAGGTTTTCAGAAGGGTACACAGAGGGTTCAGTTTGGGCCATGGGCTAAGTGCTCCTTTCCTCTGCATGAGTTGGAGTCTGGTCCTCATAGTTCTCCAGCAGCAGATAAAGCCACCTCCCTGCAAATTCCTCCTGACAACAGCATACAACAGTGGGATGGGCACTGGAGTCCAGTCTAGAATAGCAGTCTGACTCTGTCCCTGGTCACTGTTTTGCTGGGAAGTGCTAGGCCTCTCTGGGCCTCAGTTTCTCCATCTATACAGAAGCGGTGAGTGAGCCACAGGTTCCTCCCAGCTCCACCAATCAGACTGCAGCACCTTCCCCCTACCCCGCCCTGAGCCCCAGTGGCATCTGGTGCTCCTGGTGACCCCGGGCTTCAGACAGGCCCTCGAACCCCCCAGGTGGGCCTCCCTTGACCCCTTCCTCCCATATCTGATCAGGGGCCTCAAGTGGTGTCCGGGGTACAAATGGGAGAGAGGGCCATCCTGTGTGACAGCTATAAAATCCGATAATCAGCTAATCACCAGCAAATTAGCATCCATCTTTACATAGAACAAATATAGTATTTATGTAAAAGTTGTTAGGAGTTTCTCTCTTTTTAATTAGCAGAAATAAATGCAAAATGAATGGTAATTAGGCAGCTGATGGATTCGGTAGTACAATTATGCCTGCGGCAATGCCCCAGTCCTTAAACACTGCATGCTCCGAGGAATCAGAGGAGCCTATTTATATGATTTATTTATAAAACAAAGTTAACAGAAACAGAGGGGTGAGGTCTGGGCACTGCTGGAGGAGGGGTCTTGGCTGCAGAGGCAAGGCCCTGGGAGGAGAGGGAGCTTCAGTGCCCAAGGAATAAGGGGGAGGGGGGTGCTTAGTGTTGAGCTATGAAAATGCACTACCAAGGTCCCCATGTGTCTATTTCAGGCCAGGCATGCGTCGCTAGGAATGGCCTCCCTGGCAGGAAGCAGGCTAGGGCAGTATGAGGGGCTGGGAGCAGCTGTTTTTATACTCTTGTCTGTCTCTTTCTCTTCCCTGGTCCCTACTTCTCTCTTCTTTGCTGGCCCTATACTTTCACTGAGCACTTCTCTGTGCTGTACCCCTGAGGTGCAGAGGGAAGGGAATATTCTTCCTTTCCTCCCGGAACTCCGGAGAAACCAGATCCAGGAATAATGGAGGCCAACACAGTGGGAATAAGTTCCAGACCAGCAGAGCACCCAATGCTGTGAGAGTACAGAGGCAGGAACCCAGAGGAAGCAGTCCTGAGGAAGAGGCACAAATTGGGTTTTGAAGGATGCACAGGAGTTTTCTGAGAAGGTGGGAAGTAGCCAAAGGACCTGCATGTGAAAAGGCAGGGAGGTAGGAAACAGCATCATGTGACTGCAGGAAAAGAGTGTACTAGGGGGTGGGTGCTGGAGAAGCAAGCAGGGTCTTGGATGCTATTCTAAGGGTTTGGACTTGATCCTAGAAGCTGTGGAAAGGTCTGAATCAAGGGAGTGGACAGCCTCTTTCCACCGACCGTTCTTTTCTTAGCTTCCCCTCCCCCACCCCAGAGCCTGCGAGGGGGCCAGGTCGACAGGTCATTAAGAGGCAGCTGGTCCAGCTCATCGGAGCAGGAGGCTAACCTGATTACAGGGACAGGAGGTCTGTCTGCATGGGAGGGAAGGAGGAAGGGAGAAAAAAGGGAAGTGGGGCCTGCTGAGCTACCCCTGAACTCAGGGGTGAGGGGCCCATCTTCCCTAGAACACAGTCCCTGGCCCTGCCCCCACCCCACTGCCTCGCCAAGCCTGAGGGAGGGGAGAGAACACTGGCTGTGGGGCCTCATCGCCTTCTCCCAGACCCAAACCCCAGCTCACCACTGCTTTGTGCTGTGACCTTGAAGAGCCATTTCCAATTCTGGGCCACACATTCTAGTCTCCAAAACAAAGGCTTGAATTAGAATAGGGGAGAGGCAGCAAATTTGGCCCCCAGTCTCATCCCATGTAGTATACTTTTACGGGCATGGGTTGTCCAAACTTTTAGGAATTTAGGTGGGGCAGGCACTCTCCAGAATGCCACAGTCCTCGCTGCTCCCTGCTGCCTCACTCCAGCCCAATACACAGGCTTGTGTGGTATGCTGCAGGCAGCAGCTGAGTGGAGACACCTGCACGAGGACCTGGGCTCAGACAGACAGAAAGCCCGGCCGAAAAGGCTGGTGATCAGAGTAGCTCCCCTGCCATGTATTACCCTTGTAGGAGGAGACATGGGAGCCACTGCTGCACTCAGGACTTGGAGTGGACAAGCAGCCCTTCCCTCTCTCCAGTGACTACCCTGACTCAGTCTGCCGGCCTCTAAAGGGGAACAATATTACCTGCCCACCCAAGCCCCGGGGTCATTAGAAAGCTCAGAGAAGCTCGTGCACGTGGCAGTGATCTGAAAGTCAAAGCCCAGGGTAGTGGTTTAACCGTGACTTTGAACACTGCAGGTTCTGAAGGATTTCACAAAGGGAAGTTTTACACTCCCCAGTGCAGACAGCTCTCAAACCTCTGGAGCCTCCCTTTAAAACAGCAGTGCTCAAAGGTCTTTCAGCAGCCCTGGCAAGGTCTAGAAATGGTGTCTGAGCTGCTATCTGCCATCACTCTCAGGAACGCGCTCTGAACTTGTAAGGGAAGACAAAGATCACACCGCACCACTTCTCTGCTCTGTAAGTTGTGCCTTTGGCCAAAATCAATACAAATCTCCACTATGATTGTTCCACCAGAACAGGGGCCGGGCCCTTGCGATGACATTCCAGCCCTGGCCAGCACAGAGGGTCTCCCTTTATCACATGACTTCAGCCCCAACTCAGGGGGCAGCAGAGTGTGGGGTGGAGGTGGGGTCCTGAATGAGGGGGACAGCACAGGGGAGAAGCAGAGGGGGCCATGCAGAGCTGCTCTAAGTGCCTCTCCAAAGACAAGCCTGGTGCTATTCATCAACTGGTTTTCAGGGCTGTGAGAAATCAATGGCATTTGTGCTGCAAACTCATCATTAGGACAGGAAAAACTCTGCAATGGAATTGATTTGTTTAAATATAATAACACAATTTAACAGAGAACTGTGGGGGTGGGGAAGGGACCGAGGCAAACAAAACAGGCACGACAGCTCAGAGAAGAGGGAGATAAACCCCCTGAAAAACCTTCCAGTGTGGCTGCTGAGCCCCAGTGCCACCCCCACCTATCCCCAATCCCCCGCCACCGAAGAGGCCAGAGTGGGCACGTGCTGTTCTCCTGCACAGAGTAGCTCAGGACTGGTCTCAGAAATGTCCTCAATGGGCTGTGGATGGGCCCAGAGGCCTGGCTGGTCATTGCTGCATTGTTCTTGGAGGTGACTTTGCTTGGTGAATATCGGTTCAACCCAACAAATTCTTATTAGGCATCCACTGTGGTCCATGAACCTGTGCAGAGCTGTGGGGGACATGGGAAGAACTCCTGGCCATAGCCTGAAGGCATTCCATGGCAATGGGGTGGATTAGGCAAGAATGCAAGGCTAGGGCAGGCTGGCTTCCTGGAGTCTCAGGAGATGTCAGGCGGGGGTGCAGCGGGATGCTAGAGCAGGAGGAAGACAAAGAGGGAACAATCCGGGCAAAAATGCAAGGACCCTTCAAAGAACTGGGAGGGCCCCATTTGGAAGACGGTGCTCATTTCATAGATACCTGCCTGATGATGACTGATGGGAGCTCACTTTACTGATCCTTAAAATGTTCTGGGACCCTGCAAACACTTCATAAGTGTCACTTTATTGAATCCCACTATCCTGTGAAGGACAGAATATTATTACCCACATTTCAGAAATGATGTCATTGAAGCACCGAGAGGTTAAGTGACTGCCCAAGGTCACACGGTTAGTCAGTGATGGAGCCGGAATCAGACCCTCATATTATGACCCCAGCGCCTATGCACCAACCATGGCGCTTTCCTGCCATCATCTTGGTCTGCATGTGTGCTGGGGAGACAGATAACTCCTGCCCTCTGGGAGCTGGGGCATGAGATCCACTGGGCAACCGCATGGCAGCAGCTCAAGGGGGAGTCTGAGAAGGGCACGGCAGGGGCACTGCATCCATTTGGCACCTGGCTGCAGCTCTGCTGCAGGCTCAGCCCTGTATACTGGGTAGGGTTGGAGTGTTGACTGGACAGCGCTGGGCCTGGCACTCAGGGTGTCCCCAGACCTTTCACATGACCTTGGGGTTGGAGGGTGGAGGGCACAAGAAGGCTGATATTAGGGAAGGCCTGGGCAGCTCTGGGCAGCCTTTCTGAGCTCAGTAAGGGCCTTAATGTCAGCCTCAAAATTCTGACTTTATGCAAGGTGATGGGGGAAGCCAGGGAGGGCTGGAAAGGGCTCAGGGATTCAGAAGCAGGAAGATGGTCCCCAGCAGGGGTGAGATGCTGAGAGGGTCACAGATCCAGAGATGGTTAAGGGGGCCTAATCAACTGTTGGATGTGGGGGTCAGGGAAAGTGAGGTGTCAAGGATGACCTAGGCATCTCCCCGCAGCCCTCTGGGGGCTTGGATGCCCAGCTTTGCTGAACCAGCAGCTGCCTGCATCAATATGAATTGACCCAGAGCCCAGGGAGCACTGCTCCCCTCCCCCAGGAAGCCCTATCTTGTGGGAGGGCACTGCAGGCCAGCAGGCCACCACCAACTCCGCTCTGTCCCCCTGCTGACCTTTCTCCTTTGTCAGCAGTGCACTCCATCAATGCACCGGAAGGGCCAGTGCGATCCCTCCCAACTGCTCAGGCCAGGGCTGGGGGCAGGGGCTCGCTCTGCCCTCCCTCTTTCAAGGAAGAGGTTTCCTGAACGTCTCCAGAAAGCTGGGAGCAAAGCCACTAAAGCCCTCAGTGCAAATAGGGAGACTGAGGCCTGGTGAGGGGCAGCTCAGAGTCCACCAGACAACTGCAGTCACAGCCTTGAGCAAAGAGCCCACCAGGCATGAGTCATGCCCCTCCTGCTGGCAGAGGGGAGGGAAGAGAGGAAGCCAGAGAGGAGACTGGAGCCAGGCCCTGGGGGATGGGCAGGCACAATCTGGCTGGGGGAGGGGCCTATGAGGTGTGGGAAGGGGCCGAGCGACTGCACCAGCAAGCCCCTGCGCCAAGAAGAGGATCCTGTGGGCTTCAGAGTGGGGCCAGTGGACTCAGGCAGGCCTTGGGTGGTCAACCATCCTGGTTTGCCCACAAGTGACAGGTTTCTGGGACACAGAATTTTCCATGCTAAAACCAGGACGGTCCCAGGCAATCTGGACGGCCACCCTAGTGGGGCTGATGCTGAACTCTGGTTTTCAGTTCAACTACTCTCTGTGTCTCAGTTTCCTCATCTGGAACTCAGAGCTTATAACAGTACCTTGTGTATGGTTGCTGGGAGGTGGGGGAGAGTGACATTAAATAATGTACTTAAAGTGCTTAGCATCCGGCACAGCATCTGATAAAAACCATTAAACAAACGGCAGGTGGCTGCTGTTATTACTCCCAACTGCTAGACTATTCTTACTACTATGAGTACCAGCTAACACATACCAAGTGTTACCCTGCACCAGACTTTCTAAGTACTGTGCATATGTTGCTAATCTAATCCTTACAATACTTAACGGGGAAGGAAGTATTATCATCCCCATTTTCAGATGAGGAAATTGAGGTGTGGATGGGTTAAGCACGCCCAGGCTCTCACACCTGCCAAGCATAGAGCACTGAAAACTACTTTTTCCACTGGAATGATCCCAAAGCCCGGGAGATGCTGGCCAATGTCAAAATGATTATGGTCACACTGACCCAGGGCAAGAACTGGACAAACACACAGGCCACTCTGGAGGTGCCCTGGGGATTGGCAAGCATACCCTGTTTTCAGGGAGACTGAGTCCCTAATCCTTAGCCTGGGTCTTCAAGACCTTCCCCTTCTGGTCCAATCAATCTAATTTATTGAGTTCCAGGGTCTATTTACACAGCAAGAGAAAGGAACGCCCCATGATGTACACACGCCTCCTCCTGGCCCCAGGGGCTCCACTCTTGATCAGGCATGTTTTGCCCACTGCGATTCATTCTGCAACAACACTGCAAAGGTCAGATTCATGCCCATTTCTGAGATGAGAAAAGAGAGGCTTGGAAATGTGCTATGGTCACACAGCTGGATTTAAACTTGTCCAGCTCCGAAGCCTGGGCTCCTCTTGGTTGCTGGTATGACAAAATGAACAGCATGAGGGCAGAGGGCCACACCGCATATGTCTGGGTCGAGTATGGTGCAGGGAGAGGTGAGTACTAGAAAACTCCAAGGAGGGCAGAGCCCCCTCTCTTAGAGCAGGGGAAACTCTGGCAGCTCAAAGAAGGCACCCAAGCACCTAGGGGTGGAGTAGTCAACCTGGACAGGTACTGCACCCAGGGAGAAAAGGGGGAGGGAGACCTGAGGCAGAAGACCATCACCCTGCTGCCTGGAGGGGAGGGAGGTCTTGCAGAGACCCCTCTTTAGACTCAGAAGCTGAGCATGCAATGCCTCCTGTCCCAATCCCTAGGAAGTTCTCAGCGCAAGGAACTGCATGCTTGCAAAGCAATTAGCTTCCAGCACCCAGGAAAAAGGTAGCTGAGGGGGCAGGCAGGCGCTGGCTGAGCAGTGGCCCTGGGAAGCTGGGCCCTGTTATTTTTAGCATCTCAATTCAAGAGGGAGGAGGCCCTCCTTCCCACCAGGTAAATGTCAGCGCCACTGGCAGCCCCAGCCAATTAAAGCAGCTGGAGCCAAAGAGGGAAGACAGAGACTGGTGGCCTCTCCTGCTGGCCCCCAGCAGCTCCTGCAAAGGGCCTGCTCCTGACTCACCTCCTGCATGGCCCTGAACAGGAAACACTGGCTCGGTCTAAAAAGGCTGAGCAGGGGCCTGGTTGGAGTCCTGGCTGGGCCGTGTGACCCTGGTCAAGTCTCATGCCTTCTCTTCTCTGACTCCAGTTCCCCCTCTGGAAAACGCCACCCACCTCCCCACCCCGCCCCAGCCCACTTGATATTATGAGGGTGACATGAGTCAGGGGTTGTGAGGATAAGAGAAGCTTGCCACCCCCTGCTGTGGGGTGGCTGCTTTATTATTCCAGAAAAGAATGGGCTTCCCGAGCAGGAACCTGGGCCATCTGACGGGGCCTGAGCTGGCTGCTGTGCAAACTGCTGGGGGAATTTGCGCAATCCCGGGGACTTGTAGTCCAAGGAGCCCATGGCTGGCGCTCTGCTGATAGGAGAGGCATGAGAGAGAGGCCGCTGCAGGTCAGTGGAGGCTCTGCAAACACAGACCGGCCGAGCCCAGGGCTATGGGGAGGAGCCACACCTGGAGAGGGCACCAGGCACCCAGAGCGCCGGCAGCATGCCTGGCACTGGCATGGCATTTCCTCTGCATCAGGGTATCAGTCAGCTGCAGCCTTGGGAAGGAATAAATATTGTCCCCTCCCTGTCCCCAGCAGGAGGGAAGGAGGCAGAAGGAGGAAAGAAGGAGTTGGTCACAGCAAAGAGAAGGGAGGCGCATCTCTCATTTTATCCTGGGACCCAGGTCCTTAGTCTGTAGTGGGGGCTGCCCCAGGGACCTAATCCCTCATCCTCTCAGGTTGGTCCAGCCTGGCAAACCCCAGAAATCTTAGGTCAGCTCTCCTCCACTGGGGAGAAGCCTTGGGTCCAGCAGCAGCCTTCTGGGCCAACTGCCCCCGAGGTGCTGGGGAAGCCCATACTTCCCTCAGCTCATATCCCCAGCATCAGCTCAAAGCCTCCAGAAGCGGACTCTTCCACTGAGGCACTTCCCTGCTGTGGCTCCCCAGGTGCCTGAAGCTCAGAGGAGATAAAAGGGAAACTGAGGCACAAAAGTGGGGCAGTGATCTACTCAGGGGCATTTAGCAAGTTAAAAGCAAAATATAACCTTCTTTCCTTCTGCCGTCTCCAACCCCCCGGGGGCACCTCCAGCCTCATTTCTTTCCCTGAGCAGTCCTAGCCTCCACAAAGCCCCCATTATCTGCCCCAGTGTGGCTGCCACAGGGTCTTGGCCCAGCTGTTCCCTTTGCGTGGAATGCTTTCAGTTTGGTTCACAGTCTGGTCATTCTTTGGGGCTCAGCTGGCACTCACCTCCTCCAGGAAGCTCTCCCTGACCCCTGAGGCCTTCAGAGCCCCTAGACCCTGGCCCTAGGTAATGCCATGCTGCCTGTGGTCAGCAGCCTCCCAGATGGTTGAGCCTGCTGGACACTCTGCTAAGCCTTGGCAGAGGGGGCTGATGAGGGGAAGGGCAGCCCCTGGTTTCCTGAGTCCACTTTATTTCTTCACTCCCTTGCCCCTTATAAGCCTCACACTAGGCCCTGACTCTGAGGCGTTGCCCCTAGCCCTGACCATTGGGCCTACAAATCCCGGCCTCACTGGGGCTCTCTGGGTAAATGGATGACAGGATAAGCCCTTGCTTGTGGTGGCGAACCTCTCACAGCAGGAGGCAGAACACAAATGCGGCTCCACGGAGCCAGGTCTGCGGGTTCCCGTGCAGCTCTCAGTCCCAGTTCTGGGTGGCTCTCCACAGGTCCCCAGAGCTTCCTTGGCCCTTCAGGGTCAGTCCTGCCTTTCTGCAGATAGAAGGCTCCTATCGCTGCTGCTGGTCCCTGCCCCTGCCAGCCTCTGCACCCCCATGTAGCCTACACAGTTTAGTGTGGCCCTGCACTCAGCTGATAGCCTGAAGCGCCATGTTGGCTACCTTGGGGCATGCCCTCCTATCTCTGGGCCTCAGTTTCCTCATCTGTGCCATGAGTGGGGTGGGTAAAATGATTTCTAAAGACCACTCCTCCCAACACGAGAGAGAGGCTGTGGTTTTGTTTTTATTCCAATAAAGATGTCACGCTTGTGGCCCCACCCAGTGTCTATTACTTGCTGCAAGGTCGCTGAGGCTTCAGACCTAGGAACACAGGCACGGCCAAGGCTGTCCTCTGCCCCAATGTGTGGCCTGGGTGTGTGGCTCATGAACCAGAAAGAGACAAACTCCAGAGCTCAAAAAGAGCCAGTGGGGCAAACATCAGTGGGAGGGAGAAGCGCCCTCAGTAAGTAACACCCAGGAAACTCTTTACAACCTTACACTCCTACCAGAGTGAGCACACACCATCCATGAAGCATGTCCAGGACCCTGGGACGGCCAGAGGGAGACCCAGACCTACCTCTCTTGGGAAAGATGCTGCCTACCTGCTCTAGCCTCTGTACCCACCATGAGGAATGCTGTGTGCCCCCGGGCTGGTCTCTGAGCCTCTCTGATCCCACTGTGTCACTGAGCAACGCCTGCCCCAAGCTCTGAGCTGAGGTCAGGCCCATGGCAGATGGGGTTGGGGGAGGTGTGCAGATTGTGGCACCTGGCTCCATCGTCGGTCGCTTTATCTTGCAGCATTTGAGAAGACTGGCTTTCCCTTTTGGTAGAAAGCCCCAGCGCCTGGTCCAGCAGAGGTGCCTGGGTTGCTGAAGAGGCCGTGGTGGAGCATGAAGGTCCGGCCAGTGGACAAGCCTCCAACCTTGCTCTTCCTGCTGCCACAGTTCCTGGGTGAACTAAGTCTTAGACTGGACCACACCTCACCCTTGCCCTAGCTTGCAAGCTGAGGCCAGCCCTCCTAGCTCTCACAAAGGAGGTGCCACTGCCCTGCAGTCTCTTTTAGCTCCCCACTCCCTGCAGGTTCATGGCCAAACTCTGTGGCCTAGCATTCAAGGCCCTCAGGGGCTGCCTCAGCTGTGGCTGAATGAATCTTCCTCCCCAGCCGGACTGCCCTGACCCATGCCACCCAGTTGTGCAGAGACCCCAGGAAGACCCTACTCTTCCACTCTGTATAGGAACCCCACTCCCCTTACCCCTCCACCAGGAAGTCTTCTCTGGCTGCCTCCTACAGCATGAGGAAAGAGCTGCACCTACCTAGCAACCCTGCACTGGAGACTGTGACCTCTACTCAGAACTCCGGACCTGGAGCTGTGCTCTCCCAGCTCAACTGAAGATTCACTATTGGATACCAGGGCCTAGCACGGTGCAGGAGCACAAGGAAGTGTTCAACACCAAGCTGGCTGATGGACAAAATGGATCACCCAGCAAACAAGCAAGTATCTGTGACAGGCAGTTTGTTGTGGTAGGGAAAACACATATTATGGTGTCAGATAAAACTGGGCTGAGTCCTAGCTCCACTATAACCTGTGTGACCTTGGCTAAGTTTCTTAACCTCTCTGTGCTTTGAGTTTTCTCATTTGTACAACAGGATAGTCCCAACTTCAATGGGTTGTTGACACCCTTGAAGACTGCAGTTTGTAATCCCTGACCTACCCCAATCCTCTGATTTTACAGACCAATAAACAGCTGCTCAGAGAGGGGCAGCAACTTGTCCAAGGTCACACAGCAGTTCTTAATGGGACTGAGGCTTGAACACAAGTCCTGCTCAGAGGGCCCACCAGGACAGCAGTCCCACCCTCCTGACCTAGAGGGGCATCCTACCTTGGGCAGGAATAAGCAGTGAGCTGCAAACGATTCCCAGATCCAGGCTTGGGTGGGGGTTGTGGAGTCATAGCAGGCTGCAGAGGCTGGGGTGGAGGGCCTGGGCTGCAGGCCACAGATTTCACGCAGTGGGAGGAGAGGTGTGCATTCTCAGCTGGCGCTGAAGATTGACAGGCATGCCATATGCGGACCCTGGAATCCCAGCTCCGTGTGGCCACGGGCTGGGCCCTGGCCAGGCCTGCTGTGAGCTGGGCTTGGCATTCAAGGTCTTCATGGCCAGCCCCAAACCGCCTATGTAACCCTGGAAGTCTGCTGACTGACAACTTAGGGTGTGCATGCCGGCAGCCTAAAGCCACACACCAGGGGCTGGAGGGGCTGGCGAGGAGAGTGCAGCCCTCACCCCAGGTGGCTGCCCACAGAGCTCTGAGCAACAGCTGTTTGGGATTGCCTCATATGAAATCCAAATCCAGCCCAACCCCAATCCCTGATCTCCCTCTCCACCTTCTCTTAAAAGACCGCACAACCATGCTGCTCAGTGGAGGAAACCCTCCTGTGTGGCCACAGCCCTGGAGTCCACCCCCTACTCACTCCCGCTACTGCCACCTCCACTCTTCATGCTAGAAAGTGCCAGAAAGCACTAACCATGCTCCAGGCATGGCTGTGAGAGTGCCCATGGCTTACTTCGTTGAATCCCTCCCAACTAGAGGGATATTCTCCCCATTTTACAGATGAGGAAATGGGGCACAGAGAGATGAAGTCGCTCATCAGAAGCCACAAAGAAAGGGGTAACAGAGCTGGAAAACCTCCATGCCTCAGCCCGGTCCACAGCCGCAATCTGCCAGCATCCTCCACACTCATCCACCAAGAGTGTTTTGAGTGTCTTTTGTGAAGTGCCAGCCATATGGAACAGTTTGTCATGCCCCTGACACGATACCCCTCTCATCTGTGGCCAGCCTTTGCCTGCGGTTGCAGCCCAGGCCAGCTAGGGCCTTCTCACCTCTGCCCCAGACTTCAGAGCCATGTATACCTGGCTCTAGTCCGCCGAGCCACGTGAACTGGGCCACATCACTTGTGGGGAAAAGCAGGGCTGGGCGCTAGTCTGCTCTAGCTGGCTGGACCTCTGCGCTCTACCAGGCCCTCTTCAGCAACCCACATACCTCTCCTGGGCCAGGGGCTGGAGCTTTCTACCAGAAGGGAAAAGCCAGTTTTCCCAAATGCTGCAAGATGAGGCGGCCGAGGGTGGAGCCTAGGTACCATTCTCTGCTGCCACTGTCTACACCCCTACCCGATGTGGGTCTGACCTCAGCCCAGGAACTTAGGATGGTTGTACCTCTGAGCCTCTGTTTTCCTATCTAGCAAATGGGAATAGGGCCTTTCAAGAGCTCTCCAGGGTGTGATGGGTGTGAAAGGACTTCGCACACTGTAGAGAACTCTATAGTGCAAGAGGTCATTGCAGCTACTGAAGGTATCACAGAGTAAAGGTTGGAAGGGAGGAGCTGGGGGGTCAAAGAAATCTGCATGACATCTAACCTGCAGGAGTGAGTCTGCCAAGGAGAGATGGGAGTGTGGGCAAGGAGCAGTCCAGACAGGAGGCTCTGCAAATAAAACAGAGTAGACTCCCCATACCCTCCACTGCCCAGCCAGGTGGATTTGGAAAAGCACAAAAAACCAGGCCACCAAGGTAGACAGGGGCAGCGCTGGAAGGTAAATGGGGTGGGTCAGGAGAGCCTTGAACATCACTACGTGACGGAAAGAGTTGCCACTCCACCCCGGCCAAAGCTTCTGTCCTGGACTGCTTGGGATAAGCTAGATGCTGGCACCACTGACCCTCCTCTGCAGGCAGGAGGGTACCATCGCTCATTGGCAGATGAGGCTTATGGAGATGAGGAGGACTTGCCCAAGGTCGTGGGCCTGGTAAGTAACTGGTGGCGCCTGCACGTGAACTCAGTTCTTGGCGCTAAATCCCACAATTGCTACACTTACTCAAGCAGGGTTGGCTTCACTGGCCGTCACACAGGGCCACAAGCTTAGAAGGACCCTACTCTGCTGTCATCATCTTGAAATCCTTTGTAATTCATGAACAAAGGGCTCTGCATTTTCATTTAGCATTGGACCACAGCTAAATTATTTAGCTGGCCCTAATTCTAGGAGACTCTGATGGGTATTGTTGGGTACAGATGCAGGTGCGAAGGGCCATGAATAAACTCTCACTTTTCTGGGACTTTGGTGGAGCTGAGCCTTCTGCTGGGTCTTCCTTGGCCTTTGACATCAACCTAGCAAATTTCTCCTCTTTCCAAGGCCCAGCGTAAATATCACCTCCCGGGGATCCTTCCCAATTTCCTTCCATAGTGGTACCTACCACCCATGCCAAGCAGAACCTTGGCTCCCTGTGCTGTGGTCCCACACCCTGATCCTTTAGCAGGTCACAGAGCCTCCCAGTGGATATGCAAGCAGTGGCTACCTCTCCAAAGGCCTAGGACTCCTCCAAGCCTCTTGGGTACCCCAGAGCTTTCTGCTGGCCAAGTTTCCAAAGGACAATCCTAAGGATACTTTACAAAGGAGTTGTGGAGAGGAAGTTACTAGGTCATGCTAGAAAGCAGACCCCAGAGAATAGCCTATCTTTCTATTTGCAAGAAAATGGCAGGTATGCCTGGGAATACTAGGTCAGAACTAAAGCCCAGATAATCCCAGAAGCCTCCTCGGGAACCCCCTCTAACCTGGAGGGGCTCTCTGGGAAGGAGGGAGGGAAAGGAAAAGGAAGTGTTGAATTGAGGTGGGTGCAGTGTGGTTAATAAGCACCCAATTCTGGCTGTGCTACTTCCTGGCTGAGTGGCCTGCCCTCTCTGAGCCTCAGTTTCCTTATCTGCAAAGTGGGTAATAAATGACCTATCCCTGAGAGGAGATCATGGGAGAAAAGAGCATAAATGTTCACATCTGATGACGTGGATCCGAAGCCCAGCTCCAACACTTATGAGCAGGTGTCCCTGAGAACCTCACCTGCATTTATTGTGCCTCAGTTTCCTCATCTGGAAATTGCTTGGTAAGGCCTTCTCAGGCTTCTCAAGGGGATTTAGAGCACTCATGGAGGCAATGTGCCAGTCTCCTGGCAGGGAGTCAAATGTGGTTGTTGTACCAAAGCTGGGCACTGCAGGCCCCCAACTCCTCACGAGTCAACAGGGAAGTGCAGGTGGGAGAGCGGGAGCAGGGATGACACAGACCCCACCACCTTGGTGGAGGCAGGCAGGGTGGACTGTCATGCCCATGATTCAGAGAGTACCCAGGCCCCAGGGGATGAGAAGCCTGGAGAGGAACAGCCCCCACATCCCCACTTTACCTGTAACCTGTTTTATTCTCATGAGACTACTAGCTTCAATTTGTTGAAGCCCTGCAGAGTGCCCAAAATTGCTCTCGGCAATCTACACAGCAGCCTCTCATCCTTGCGGCCACCGTATAGGAGGCGGACAGGGACGATTCCTGTTTCCAGATGGGGAATGAGTCCTAGAGCGGGCAAGGGCTTGTCCATGGTCAGTCACATGGCTGGCCCTCAAGCCCCAACACCCTCCCCAACATACACACAAACAGAGCTCCAGCTCAGCCTCGGCCCAGGCTGTCCAGAGCCTCCCAGGAGCTGCTGGAAGCTTTTGCCGATGCAGAGCCATCGACCTCTGAACTGCCTCTTCTTGTTGGAATGCACCCTGCGTTGTGTGTGCATGGATATGCAGCCCCGTGTGTCAGAATGCTGTGTGCTTGTGAGAGTTTGTGCCCGTGTATGTGTGTAGTTCCAACACGAGTTTGTGCATGTGTATGTGAGCATGCAAGTGCACGCAAGTGTTATCTGTGTGCATTCATGTGGCATGCAGAAGCGACGTCTGTGTACACGTTTGTGAGGAAGCGCACATTTGCACATCTGTATTATCTATGCACTCACCACCACTCATGTCTGTGTGTGCATGCACATCCTGCCAGGTTCTGCTCCATCTATGCTTCTGTCTCCCCACACTGTAACTCACTTGTGGTCACCTCCCCAGAATTCTCCCCCCAGCCTCTGAACCCTCTCCACGCCACTGTTATGGGGCTTGCCACATCACTGGGATCTTTCTGTTTCTCCACGGAGCAGAGAGTGGGACAGGCCCCTTTCCCTTGCACCGCAGTTGGTACCTAATCCAGGAGTTGGCACACAGTAAGTGTTTAATACAAGCTTAGGAAAACGAACTTGAGGGGCGGAGGGAAAGAAAGCCTTATCCAGCCTACACACCCCTCCTCTAGAGGGGGCCCTGGCTGCCACCTCAGAGGCACCCAGAGGCCAGGCCTGGTCCCTGCCACATCACATCACAAATGGGTCATGACCCCAGACCCACCAGGAGCCTGTCACCTGGTAAAAGCCCCTCTCCCTTTTTCTTAAGTTGGGACAGGATCTGGCACTTCTGAAGACACCCATAATTGCCCTGATCCCCACCCCCAAAAAGAAGCTAGGAGCAAGGCCAGAGGCAGAGTAGGCCAGCGGGCAGTGGCTGGCGCACTGGAGCCACACAGACCTGGACTTGAACCCTAGGCTCAGCCAGGTGTGCCGCCTGGGGCAAGTTACTTCCTGAGTGAGTGACGTTCAGTTTTCTCACATGTACAATGCTGGTGATTACAGCAATGCTCTCATAAGGCTGCTGTGATGCTGAAAGAAGTAATAACTCTATAGTACTTTGCACAGTACCCAGAATACAGTTAAGTGCTTGTCGGGTTAGAGGATATCATTACTGTTATTTCCATGGACTAGAGTAGAAAGCTGAGGCCCTCTAGAAGGAAAGGGCTACCCAAGGCGATACTGGGAGTTGGCAGCAGAATAAAATCCCATGTCCAGGTCCCAAGTCAGGACATTCACCACCCTCCACTGTGTGGCTTTCTTTGAGAGGAAAAGGCCAAGGAACAAATAAAGACTGAGAAAGAAGCCCCTTCCCCTCCCCAGCCCTCTGGGCCCCTGAAACAGCACCATGCACTCTGGGCAGCCCGCACTCCCTGTCTGCCCCACGTCAGCAGGTGCACAGCACCAGAGGGCCAGCCCATCCCACTTACCTGCTCAGGCCTCTGCAGAAGGACCAGGACTCAAGTCTGCTGAGAGCGTCTGGAGGAGGAGGTGGCAGCCCCAGCAGTAGTACGAAATCAGAACACAGCTGCCGTGAGTCCTATGGGAGACAAGAAAGGGGGCAGTGAGCTCCAAGCTCTGACCCTGCGGGCAGCCCCTCACCCACGTCATGGACCTCTAGGTCCTGGCTGCCATCTCCTGGAAGATGGAACTGGCCCACCAACGTGGAGCTACTCGAGACACTGGATACCGTCCTGCCACTGCCAAATAAAGGTCGCAGCTCCTGAACGTCACATTCGAAGCCCCAGCACCGGCCGAGCAGCCCCGCAGCCCTGAAAGCCAGACCACAGCAGCAGCCAAACCTGCCTGCCCACCACTAGGCTCCAGTCAGCCCGGCCTCCCAGAGCCCCTGGCTCCGGCCTTGGCACACGCTGGGTGCCCCGCTCAGAGCTCTTCTCCCCACTTCTCTGTCTTTCAAGGGCCCCTGGCCTTTGAGACTCTGCTCAAGTGCTTCCGTGGAGCCCTCTCTCACCAGCCCCTCCTTGCTTGTTCATCTCCAGTGGGCTGTGCGCCTGGCCAACCTTGCCTCCTCCCGCTTCCCACAGGACACTCTCCCGCTCCAGGCCCAGCTCCTGGACATTGGGAGTGAAGTCTAGTTTCTCTCTGTCCTCTGAACTGGTTAACAAGGACCACAGAGATTCCTTGATGGATGAATGGTGCCGTGAAAGTGTGCAGTGAACAAACAGAAAAACATGGGCTGACTGAAGTCAGGAGGCCTCCCCCCATCCCTTCCTCTATTCGATTCTAGAATATGGGGTCAGATTGATGAGAAGAAAGGGACTTGGTGAGGTTGATACTTTTCCTTGTCATTTTACAAATGAGGAAACTGAGGCCCTGAGAGGGAAAGGGTTCCTCCCATGGTGAAAGGCAAGGCTGGAGTGAAGTCCAAATCTCCTCAGGGATGGAGGCTGTGTGGCTGTCTCCCCCCAGTTCCTGCATCTGCAGACCCCTGGCCTCCCTGACTGTTGAGGGTCAGGTCAACCATGAAAGGCAGCTGCTGGGAAAAGGAGAAGGCAATAGGAGGCCTCTGGGGTGGAAAAAGTGTAGCAGGAAAGCTCATGCTCAGAAAAGAGGGATCAGCCTCATGGCTCTACTTCCCCTGACCTGGGGGCCTGAGGCTCAGGGCGGGCAGAGGGGACATCACAGGAAGCCCCTTCCAGTGTCCACAAGATGCACCTCCAGCCCATCTTCAGCTGGGTCTTTGTAAAGTCCCCCTTCTGCTGGTGGGGCACACACTAGACACTAGACCCACCACTTGGAAGAATAGTTTGGAAGGGTCTCTTACCCTGTGACCTCTCCCATGACCCAGGAACTCCATGTCCACAGAAAAATGTGCATATGTTCACCAGAAGACATGTGTTAGAATGCTCGTAGCAAGGCAATTCGTAACAGCCAGAAAATGAAAACTTCCCAGATGGCCACCAACCATAGAATGGGTCAACTGGTGTTTCCACACAACAAACTGCTGCACAGGCTTGGGAATGAGTGATCTGCAACTTCATCCAACAACACTACGGGTAAATCTTGCAAACACAATGTTGACTCAAAAAGCCAGGCACGACAGAGAATACACTTATGAGATCCATTTATATAAAGGTCAAGAAGGGCAAAAAGACTCTACGCCTGTAATAGATGAAATACGGCAGGGGTCCTCTGGAGTTCCTCCTATCAAGAGGCGGAGTCTGTTCTCCACCTGCTGAGAGCTGGCCTTGAGAGTTGTTTAGATCAATAGGATTCGGTGTGAGTGACATTTTGTGAGTTATAGAGACTAGGCCTCCTCAAGAGGTCCTGCCATTTCTGGCCTTGCCTCTCTTGTGAGGCTGCAGGCCATGGAGGGAGGTGTCTGTCTTAGTGGAGGGTGGGGAACTCCCCTGGCAACAGCCAGCACCCACTGCCCGTGTGACTGAGGCCATCTGGACCTTCCAGTCCAGCAGACACTCAAACGTGACTGGAGTCACATGAGCCCAAGCGAATCAGGAGGAGAAGTCCAGCCAAACCACAGAATTGTGAGGTTTCATAAATGGTGGCTGCTTTAAGCCACCAAGTTTTCAGGTGGTTTGCTGGGCAGCAGGAGATAACTCACAGCAGGCTGGAAGTCAGGACAGTCGGTATCCTTGAGGGGGCAGTGAGTAGAGGGCACAGGGGGCTCTAGTGGGTCTGCAAGGTTCTGTTTCTTGATCTGCCTGGCAGCTACAGAAGCATGTGCCCTTCAGGATAATTTGTCAAGCTACAAATGTAGGAGATACACACTTTTCTGCATGGGTGTAACACTTCAATGGAACTAAAGACAAATCTTTCCGTGGCTTTCCACCCAACTGAATCAGGTCAGCCCCGCCCTGGCCAGCCGGCCTCTGTAGCCCATCCCCAGCCCTGCAGGCTCTACCTCACTCTTCTGTGCACCCCCACAGGCTGCATCACACCTCCACCGCAGGATGCCCTTCCCCTTCCTACCATGCTCAAGCCTGCAGTCAGGTGGCACCTTCTCCTGGAGGCCCTCCCTGACCTCCCCAGGCCTTGCCTGGGTGTCCATATTCACACAGTTCTCTCTCTGGGGCTGGGTCTTCCCCAGAGTGTGTAAGTCTCTCTTCTGCCTCTGCAGCTCTCGGAGTTCTCCAAGCAGAAGCTCTATCAGGGTTGGGTGACACCCCTACTCCTCTTCCCCCAGGGTCGAGACACCCCCAGCCATACTGTGATGGCCAGAGCAGGCTTCAGGGTAGGATGGGGAACTGGGATCTCAAGATAGGTCAGCTGCCAGCACCCAACAGGGCAATTCTCTCCTGGGGACCCAGGCTTCTCCCACAGAGATGGAGGGTGGGGCTGAATCCGGGGGTGCAGTAAGGGGCTACAGAGTGCAGGGCTTACGGGGGGATTATACTCCCCATTTCACAGTAAGCCATGATGCCCAGTAAATGTGCACCACTCCTTCCCTCTTAATTATCTATTAAAACAAAATTGCAAGACCCATGGCCGTAGTATAATGCTACACCCTCTGGCAAAACAATGGAAACTGCTAGGCAGACAGAAGGAAGAGTTGTAATGCCAGACAGAGTGGGCATCGGCTCCACCAAAATCCTTCCATGTATTGACTCCATGAATTGTCCATCAGCCCTGAGTGACTGAGAAGGCGGAAGCCCTCCCCCATCCAACCTCAGGTGAGTGACTGGCTGGGGCCTCAGCTGATCCCTAAAGCCAGGGCCTTGGCCTGGCCACCCCTCTAAGGGCCTCTCGCCCCCACATTTGCAGCTCCAGCTCTGTCCTAAATAGATATGTGGTCTCTGGGGAAACCCCTCAGCCCTCAGTTCCCCCCAGTGTCATCTAAGAGCTATGGCTGACACAACGATCTCTGATGAGCCAGTTTTCTCTCTCGTGGGAGGAATGGAATCCCTGACAGGCCAAGGCAGTGCTGAGGCCCACCATCTTTCTGCCTTCCTCAGGGTCTCCACTGTACCAGCGATGATGCTTACCAGCAATAGGATGATGCAGCCACCTCACACACTACAGACAGGCCACAGCACCTGTCACCTTCCTGCCTTCTACCTCCAGGACCCTTTGCTAAGAGAGGAAGCTCCTTACCCAGCAGAGAGGCCCAAACAAGCCAAAAAGTGGCAAGGCTGGGAGAGGGAAAGACATCAGATCCCAGGAAACACGGTCTGTCCTGTAGCAGAGAGAACTCCAAGCCCACAAGGGCAGCTGGGTAGGTCACAGCCTAACATCAGAAGCAACTCTAGACTAGAGTATGCCTTCCACAAGTGGGTCTGCTACCTTGGGAGGTGGTGAGTACCTCATTCCCAGAGGCATGCAAGCAGAAGGGAGCTGCCACGTGGTGCTGTGGGTGCTGTAAGCACCAGAACAGAGCTGGACTCTATAGTTCCCAAACTCCTCTGCTAAGAATCACCTGGGCTGATTGTTAAACCCACAACTTCCCAGGCCTTTCCCCTGGGAGTGGAAGTCTATGGGTCTGGAACACAGCCCAGAAATTTAAATTTTTAGCAAGTCCTCCCAGGTGATGCTCTGCATCTGGAAAGTTTGGGGGAGCACTGGCAGATGACCCTCCAGGTCCCTCTGAGTCCCTCACTCCACTCCACCACCCACACCCCACCTGGAAGACACCACCCGGGCAGCAGCCTTACTGCGTCGTTAAAATAAAAGTGATTTAGAAGCTTTAAGAGGGGGCAAAGATGTCAGGGGGAGGGGAGATTCTCAGCCCGTGGTGATACTGGTGGCAGCTCCTTCCTAGCCCCCCTGGGCCCCCCAGAGCCATCCAGAAAAAAAGCTTAGCATTTGTGGAGGGGGGTGCTGACAGCTGTTCAGCTGCTGCTCAGTGAGGCCCCGGAAAAGCAATTATCTTGCTCTTAGCAGAGAGGAGCTGGCTTTTACCCGCCCCTTCCCTCCCTCCCTTCTCCCTCCCACCTTCACACACACACACACACACACACACACACACACACGCACACACACACGCACACACACACACACAGACACACACACACATACACACCCAGGCCAAGATGCTGTGGCTGGCTCTGAACCCGCCTTCCCCCACTCCCAGCCTCCAGATTTCTCCGACTCACTCAACCTCCATCCTCAGAGCACATTTCCAACACTTAAATCATTTAGCCCGCTAAACCGGAGACGGCGAAATGGGTGCTATTTCTTAAAAACATACAGAGAGCGTATTAAATTATTGATAGCCATTAAACAGGGGGAAAAAATTAAACAGCTCTCAGCTCTTATCAATCATTCATGCAGTTTCCACTGGGGTGTTTTCTGGAGAGTGATCACTCCGGCAACCTGGGGAGCCAGCTCCTGCCGGGCAGGGAAGTCTGCCGCTGGATAGAAATGGAGGGGGCCACCCCAGTCCCCAGCAGTCAGAGGGGCAGCACTGCCCTCAGAGGGGATCGGGGGTAGGAGTCCGGCAGGCAAGTCAGCCTCTCTCCATTTGCAAACTCCCGCCTCCTCTTCACCACACCATTAACAAAGGGAGACTCCAGCACCGCCTTCAGGAACCCCCTTAATTAAATCCAGCCTGCTTTTATTGAGCTGATACTACACATCAGGCCTGTAGGACCCACAAAGAAAAAAGCCTCAAGGCACCTACACAGGTGAACGGGCTCCAAACGTGAATATACTACACTGTGATAGGAGCCATCAATGGAGAGGGGGCTCAGAGGAAAGGGGGGCAGCCTTGGCCAGAGTAGGGGTGCCAGGGAAGCCTTCACCAAAAAAGTCATTCTTGTGTAAATTCTTGGAGGGGGAGCAGAAAATCACACAGACAACGAGTTGGAAAGGGCATTCTAGAAAAAGGGAATAGAATAACTCAGGCAAAAGCACAGCATAGCGTGGTGCCTGTGTCTCAGCACCCACCCTGCCAACAACAGCCTGTGGGGTGGGGGCCTGGGCACATAAAGTGGAGTGTGGAGCAGGCTGGAACTTCAGCCTCTCCTCCAGGCACCAGTCACATTCAGGCCAGGCCAGGGGAAGGAAGCACAAGGCCAGGACCCTCCAGGTGTGGACGGGCAGGAGGTTGGGGTTCACCCTAGCTGCCCGGGCAGCAGCACCTCCACCCCCGCATGGCAGATCCATTTCCTGGCTCTGACTCAGGACACCTAAGCCAGTATGACGCAGACCATGGAGGCTGCAGGCCCAGGATGCTGCCGGTCTCTCGGCCACAGACAGTCCTGGCAGAGCTGCTCAGAAGACAGGCTCCCTCCTGCCACTGAGCCATGCCAAGGACCTCGGCACCAGAGCTGTGGGAGCCAGCAGACATCTGATACCACCCAGCCTCGCTGCATGGGGACCATCCACAACCAGAGGCCACCTGAGGCTCCGAAGGCAGGCCAGGCTGCTGCGGGGAACAAAGAGGCTAGGCCTGTCCTTGCCCTGGTACACAGGGCAAGCTCTGCATGCTGAAAGCTGTTGAGAAGCCCTCACTTGCTGCCTTGCTCAAGAGCCCAGGAGCTCAGGAGCTCACGATCTCAGGAGCTGGGAGCCAGGAGCCAGGAGGAGGCCCTGCCAAGTGTTGATAGCACCCTCGCCAGAGAAAGCTGCTGTCACAGGGAAACATTCTGGGGAGTGTGGTTGTTTACCACCAACGCCTGGGACCGTCAAGAAATAATCAGAAGAAATTAAATTTGCTAAGTTGTGAAAGATATAAAGGAACCCTCCCTCCCCAAATGCCCAGACATTTTGACATGGACAATCAGGCTGCTCTATTTTGCCTGGTTTCGGGGAAATGTCCTTAGATCTGCAGGAACGGGTGGGTGGTGGGATATATGTGCAATCAGCCAGGATTGGGAGACTGGGCCCTGAGTTCTGCCTGGGCTCTGCCATCAACCTTCCCCTCTCTGGGCCTCGTCTGCTCCCCTCCTCTGTACAAGGACAGATACACATTCCAGGCCCCTTCAGCCATGCTGATATTACAGGGCAGAAGTGGTTTCCAGGCGGCGTGTCCACAGAGCCTGCCAGGAACATGGGGTTCCTGAAGCCTACCCCAACACCTCTGCTACGCTCACCCAAGGACTTTCGGTGATGGAGCCGAGTGGGTCTGAAGTCATCAGCCATTCCCCTGCTCCTGCACACACCCATGCTCCCACCTGAATTGCTACATGTAACCCCCTCCCTTTAGTTCAGCCTCCACACAGGTGCAGGACCCGTGCAGAGCGTGGGTCCGACCTGGCACAGAGCAGGCTGTCAAGGAAGGTCTGCTGACCAGCAGAATCAAGACAGGGATGGGCAAGCGACCCTACAACCCAAATCAAACACACCTGTCCCCTACTCAGGTACCAGCCCTGACTCCCCACTGCCAGCACGTCCCACTGCCAAATCTTCAAGTCCTGAGAGTCCTTCACTTGGGAGTTGTGTCCACACTTCTAGAAGTCTCTCACACCCTCTACACTCCAGCCACACCACAATCACTCAGCGTTCCCTGGATGTTCATGCCCCAGGGCCTTTGCCTATGCCATTACTTTTTTAGCCCAACCAAGTCCTACTCTGGGTCAAGCTGTAGCTCCCAATTTGTAACTGTCACAACACTTTACACTAGACTGAATTCTATTCACATTTGTTCCAAACACTCAAACAAACCACCCCAGCTCCCAGCCTATAGCCCCCGATCAGCTTTTCCTAATGGCTAACCTACATCACACCTGCTGTAATTTTAAAAACCATTCCCTGGATAGTGGGTGAGACGTTCTCAGCCAAGTGTAAGTGAGACTGTATTCTTGGAGCTCCCTAAGGTGAGGGAAGGGGCAAGCTTGGGAATTTCCAGGCAAAGCCAGCAGAAAATTGGCCACAAATGAATCATTAACTCTTGAGTCAAGATCTCCGAGTAGCTGGTGCCAAGGTCTCAGGCTCTGGCCTGTGTGGGCCCACTTGGTTTCCCTTGGCTCAGGCCTGAGGGTGCGCCTCCCCCGTCACCCACACCCCCTGGCCATCTGCTTCACCCCACAGCCACTAGCCATCGAGAGGAAAGACTCTGCTCTTTGGTCCAGGGCAGGCCAAACTTCTTATGGGAGAGGGTACACCTTTCCCCGGGAATGATTCCAAACTTTTGCCCACACACTTCTGTCCTTCTGGAATGCCATCCCTTCCAGTGAGCTAAATCCTCTTTGTCCTTCAAGGACTGGCTCCAGCCTGGCCTGCCTCCTCCCTTGCCTGCCCACCTGGGCCCCATGACCTCCGAGCCCCTGCAGACCCGGCTGTGTCTACCAACTGTCTCCTCCCTGCCCTGGCCTGGGTGCCAGGGCCTCGTTTCTTCAGTAAAGCCCCTGCTAGGATGGGGACATTGCATCCTCTACTGGACCCTAACAGCTATCATTAAGTTGGGCACAGACTGGGAAGCCCACAGGTGATGGGGACTGCTCATGGGCTCTATGCACAGGGGCCCCGGTGGTGGTCAGCCCAGGAGCTGGGCAAGGGGAGCAAGTAGATTGGCAGCCATCTGCATAACTGTGCAAGGAGTCCCTCGGTGCCAGTGGCCACCCCATCTGGAAGCACAGGTGAGTGCATGACAGATGATGTATTGATATCACACTGGGATACCTGTTAATGAGGTATCATCTGTGCTTCCAGACTTCAGGTCCATTGGTCATGAAGTTCATGAGTTCAAGCCCTTCCTCCAGGCAGCTTAGAGGAACTATGGTGAAAATGGAAGCCCCAGACTGCAGTGCTTGGCAGTGGGGGCCTCAGTCCTCACCTGGCTCAGGCAAGACATCATGTTCCCCTGTGGGCCTTCTTTCAGAGCCTCTGAGCCAGCTGTGGTGCAGCCACCATATGGTTCAGAAGAGACAGGGGTAAATGTAACCACTGGCTTCCCATTGTGGGGCTGGGTGGCTGCAGAGGGCACAGCATTCAGAGTCCCAGGAGCCAGCTCCTTTGTAGTCGGCCAACATCAGTACCAACTACCTCCTTCCCCAGGGCACCTCTTGCAGGCTGAGGCTTCCAGTTTCAGCATGGCCCTCTCAGTTCCCTGGAAGAAAAGCTTGAACTCTTCTTCGGTGGGACGGATGGACATCAAGTCTGGAAACACAGATTAAACCTCATTAATAGGTATCCTAGTGTGGTATTAATGCACCATCCGCCATGCATTCACCTGTCCTTCCAGACCGAGTGGCCACCGGTATCGCAATAAGGCCAAAAACAAGAATAACAAATACCGCTGATTTGAGCAGCTGCTTTGTGTCAAGCTCTGTGCTAAGCTCCACACTCATTTCTCCTGAATTCTCCCAACATGCCAGGAGATGGATACTACTACGAACATGCCTGCTGGAAAGATGAGGAATCTAAGGATAATAGAGATGCAGATGAGGATGAAGTAACCTTCCCACATCCCAAGGCCAGAGGGTGGCAGCATGGGGGTTTGGATGCAGGCATCTGGCCCAGGCCATGCATGCCACCCCCAAGTGCCTAGCACCCCTCATCTCCTTTGCTCACAGCTGGAACAAGTCCTATGGGTACCACCCTGCAGCCTTCACTGAACCTTTTTCTCATCTGACCTTCAAAACACTCCATGAGACCACTGGTGAGGGTCATTATTGCCATCTTACAGATGGGGAGACTGAGGTCTGCTGGGGGAAGGAACTTGACTTCTCTAGCAGTTTCTGCACCCCTTTTGTCCTCACAATAACCCCATGAGGTGGCCATTGCTAAGACCATTTTGCAGGTGGGAAAACAGTGATGATGGGAGAGGCAGAGGGGCTGTCTAGGGCCACATGCTGGCAACAGAGCCTGGGTTTGTGCACCTGGCTGCCTGACTCTTGACTGGGCTTCTCCCACGACCCGGGGCTGTCCTCAAGGTCTGGCACAGAATATGGGCGAGTGCATAGGCATGGTGGGGAGAAACAAAGGGTGGATCAGGAACCCAGTGTGGGGGCCTGGGAGTGGGCACCACATCCCTCCCTCCCAGCCTCCCCTCTCCAGCACCATCCATATGGAGGTGGGGTGGAGATGCTGAGGACAGATGAGGCTACCTCCCCAGTTCCTTCAGGACTCCTGGACTGGGGCACTCTATACTCATTTACGATGACAGAGAGTCTTATCCATGAGCCTAATGATCAGGCGGGGGCAGCCCAGCCACGCTGGGCACCGGGTGTGTGTTGCACGCAAGGATGTGAGTGTGGACAACACCCATAATGAAAAAGACAGGATGAGGCGGCAGTTGCATGCCCACACATGTGTGCACACAGACCCATGCACACAGGCGCACTTGCACAGAGGCATGTACACCCCTCACCAATGCACATCCACACTGGGACACACACAGGACAGCGAACAGACATCCACCTCCCAGAGCCACGAACAGATCAACACAGAGAGAGGCAGCCCAGAGGACATAGGCACATGGATGCCTGCAGAGTGCAGGCAGACACACACATGTGTGCACCTGGGCACACCTGTGTTCATCTGCGCACAGGCCCAAAGCAGCACACACCTGCGTGCTGGGCTAACACAGTTTATGGGCTGTGGGCAGGGATGTGGACAGCCTCAGGTGCACACAGAGCACGTGGGCCTGGGTGTGCCCACTCAGGCGTGGGTCTGGGTGCATGCATGTGCACATGCATGCACAGGGGCCTCGGTGGTGGTCAGCCCCAGGAGCCAGGCAGGGGAGAAGGTGGGCTTGCAGAATTGTGCAAGAAGCCCCTCACTGCCTCTGTGCTGATGTAGTTAGGCCCGTCCAAAACAGCCCCATAAATCAGGATGCTGCCTGCTGTAAGCATTTATATCACTGTCCCTGGGATGCAGAGCTTAGAACAGAGAAGCAGCCAACCTCAGGCCCTGACCCACGATCTGTGTGTATTAGGGGGTGATGGTTGGTATTTGGCTTTCCTTCTACCCAAGGCCACCTCCCCACCCTTACCCCAATCAGGCCCCCTGTCCTGCTAGCCCAATATGTCCGGCCTCCCTCAGGCCTTTCTTCCCCATCCCACCTTTCTTCCTTCACTCTCAGCCTGAGATCTCAAAGTGCACCATCAGCCTGAGCACCACCCTCCCATCCCCAGTGCTGAAAGCTTCTCCCAGCAATTGGCACCCTAGGACCTAGGTATGGGTGGGTGGGGTGAACAGTCCATTCCCAGACAGTAACACTGCAGGTGGTTATCAGATCTGAGATCTGAGCTGGGGTCCATACCTAGCTCCACCTCGGATGAGTCCCACCACCCCTTCTCCCAGCCTCACTTCCCCTGTCTGTAAAGGGGGACTGGAATGGGACCTCCCAGGGCTGCTCGTCCTGAGGATCTGCTGCCTAGGGAAAAGCTCCTCTGTGGATGCTGATTAATTATGACTATTAATAATACAACCATCTGTATCTCACAGTGGAGCGAGGATGATTAAAACTGGGCCCTGTGCCCCAGTGGCAGAATAAATGGGTCTCCGGGTGGGCTGGGATGTCAACACTAGCCTGGAAGCAGATCACTGGTGACTGTGTTGGGAGGGGCTCTTTATATTGCATAGACAGATGCTGAGAGGAAGGACAGAAAGGCAGGCAGGCAGAAAGAAGGTGGGGAGCTGGCTTACCAGACGATGAACAATAGACAATTACCCCATGCCAGGGCCCTCAGGCAGGACTCTGTGCCTGCCCCTGGGACAAAGCAACTGGGTCTTTTCACCTCTTCTCAACCCCACCTCCACCCTACAGCAGAGCCCAGAAGCTCCAGCTGCTGGAGGTAGTGAGGCGGTAGGCATGAGTGCCATCCTCTGTCCAGAGAAGTTTTGGAGGTTGCTATCTGCCAGGATCAGGCCAGTGCCCTCCCTGCCCCCTGCAAGCCCTGCTCCAAGTAGCGTCCATCAACGGAGGAGCCTTTCTGAATGCCTCCGAGTAGTGTGGGAGCAATGGAGACGGTCCCTCCTCCCACCGCCCGGTGGTGCCCAGTGCACCTCTGACCTCACCCATCCACTTGAACGCTCTTTCGTGGTGAACACATCTGCCTCCCACCTCACATTCACCAGACTGTGAGCAACTCTGATCAATCCACCTCTGTGAACACCACTGGCGGGCCCCACAGAACCCTCACCCTGAGACAGACACTGTTAACCCAGTAATACTCACAAGAGCCCCGTGTGGTGTCTACACCCCTTTTATCAATGAAGAAACTGAGGCACAGAGAGAGAAAGGAACTCACCAAAAGTCACACGGCCAGAAGTAGTTCAAATGCAAAGCATGCTGTTTGACTCCTGAGGTCTAACCCGCTAGGCTACAAAAGCTGACTGAATGAATGAGGCTTAAATAGCAGGATGCAGAAAGTTCTGGGCTTTGTAAGTGGACAGTGAAGTGGCCAGAAGATGGGTATCACAGGTTCAGGCCAGATGTCTGCATTAACTGGCTGTGTGGCCGCAAGCCAGTCACTTGCTCACTCTGGCCTTCAATTTCCTCACCTGAAAAAAGTGAGCAAATGGGGCTGCTCCATCCCCTGGCCAGATGCAAAGGCAATGGAAGAGTGAGTGCTCTGAAAATGATCAAAAAGCATGATCATGAGGGCTATATCCACAGCAGCCAGGACTTCCAAAGCGGAGCCCAAATGCCTGTTCAGGCAGGGGCACTCAAGAACAATAGATGAAGGATCTGAAACCAGGGCTGTCCTAGAAAATCTGGGGCACTCGGCCACCTGCACGATGCCTGTAGTGAGGTAGTGTTACATGGACTGCCGCCAAGCCAGGCCGAACCACCTCTCCAGTCCCATTTGTCGATCATTCTTGGGTCTCATCAACACACTTCCTGGGTACCTACCCCATATCCAGCCCTAGCAGGGAGTGGGTATGGAATGAACAAGAGCTTCCTAAACTCAAGGGCTGAGTGTTGACCCTCCAGGGCCTGCAATGTGGTTGGGGGATGTCCCCTTGCACAACGGGCAAAGACCGGCCAAGGAGCATCTGCTAAGTTCTTATAGGAGCTTCTGGGCTCAATCACCCACTGATCGCCAAGCTGGGTGCTGGCGATGCAATGGGGGCAGGATCTAGCCACAGGCTTGGGGGAGCATATGAGTCACAAATAAAGGCCTGTGTACCCCCAGGCTTCCTTCCCACACCCATGGCAGGCATTACCAATTGGTCCCCATGCTCTCTTACAGAGCTCCTTGTAGCCTCAGAATTGCTATTCTGTATAGCACTCCAGGCTGTCACTCTCAGGCAGAGCATAAGACAAAACCTACAGCACTTGATGTCCCTGTTAGTGGAGCAACTACTACATTCTGCTGGGTTCAGCCACATCTGGGAGAGCTAGGGCCTGGTCTTGGTCTCTGGCCTAGGAGAGAGCAGCCAGATGGTGTCAAGCTTAGACCCTCAGTTTGGGAACTTCAATGGAGAGGCACAGAGGGCCTGGGGGTGGGGGGATTTGGTTTTGCTACAGAATCCCAGCTTCTTGGCCAAGACTCTCCACGAGAGTGGTTTCCTTGGCCCGGATGCCAGAATGGGGCTTTCTGTAGCCCCACCGTCTTAGGGAGTGTGGTGGTCACCTCTGGGTATTGTGCAATTGGAAGACAATTTACCAGAACGTCCCTCCAGCAACCCCTCCCCACTCATTCCTTCTACAAGGGCACAGAAGTTGGTGAGCACTTAGGGGAAGGGCAACCTGGACAGTGTGCAGAGTCCGTCACATTTCCTCCCATCTTCCTGATGTTTGTCATTTCCTTCTGCCATCGAAACTGCCATTAGCTTAATAATCAATTCACAACTTTTGCATAAATACTTTTATTTTTAAAAGAACTTTATATTACTACCTTAAATACAAAATTAGCCTTACTCACCAAGGATAGAAGTTAAACACAAAAACAAATACAAGGAGAACAAACAATGGCACTGTTTTGCTGCCTGCCTGCTGGAGGCTCCGGGTCCTGCAGGTGCTCTCTGTTGAAAAGAGACACCAGCAAGTATCCAGTCACTGGCAGCTGTCCTTGACACAGTCAGAGGGCTAAAGGGGACTAGGGGCGGAGGGGTTTTCTCAGTCCTGATTAACATGAACTCCTGAATGCCAACGGTCACTTTTGTTTACCTTTGAGGAGCAGAAAGAAGCTCAGTTCAGTGGCACTCTCAGGATCGAGGCAGCCTGTAACAGGTCTGTTACACAGAAGAGGCTCAGAGAGGTGGGCCAATGGCCCCAGGTCACACAGCAGTCAGTGGCCAAGCCCGGCTTCCGACCCTGGTCTCTTGCCTAAGCACAAGATCTCTCTTCTCTGCCACCACCTTCTCTATGCCACACGGAGGCACTTAGGCAGAGCAGAGTCGCTGTGACCTGCGGCTGGTGTGGTAGCAGTTTTTACACCCGAGGTTAACAGCTGTGATTTAAGAGGTTATTTGTCTAAATTTTCGGGAATCAGTTTCTCAGGGAGGAGACAACTAACACATTGGGCTCGGGAAGCTAGTCTTTTTAGAAAATATTTATAGCATTTCAAGACAGTTTGGTGGCAATTGGATCTAGCATCTGCTATTTTCCTCACTTTCCACCATGGCTTTAAAACCCATGGCAGTTAAGACACACACACACACACACACACACACACACACACACACACACACCCCACAACAACAACCCAACAACAACAGCAACCACATCAATGCTGATAGGAAATCAAGGCCCATCGTTTCTTTGAGAAACAAAACATGAAGCTGGCATGATTTCAGAAAGCTCATTACTGCCTCTGGTTAAAACCCCAGTGCACCTCCTACTAGCAGTACCTAAGGCTGATGCTCAGAGTGCCGTGGCCAGCGGGCCAGTCCCCAAGGCTACGGTGAGGTTCACGGCCTCCAGAGTTGGGTTTGGCAGGACTCCCAGGCCCAGGGCTGTGGCTCTCACAGGAAGCCCCAACAGCAAAAGAGCCCTCCCCTGAAATTTGGATTCTGGCTACAAACTGGAGAAAGACAGGGAAAGAAGGCAACCTCTGGAAATCAAAGACATCCTACGACCAGGCACTGAGTTGGCCCATCTCTGTACCTTGGTGGGTATTCACCCCTGCAAGCTCAGTGACGTCTATTGTACCCATTTTGCAGATGACAAAACTGAGGCTTTAACAAGCCAGGAGATTATCCTGAGAGCACAATGGCTTATATGGTAATCTGGTCCCTCTGACCCAACCAGGCAGCCTGGTGTTCCCACCTCACCTCCAGTGACCACCCTGCACATGGCTTCTATGCACGCGGACTCTATACTCATCCGCTCCCCAAGATCCTGCAAGGTGACTCCCTAGACCAGCCTCCAGGCCTTTACTCACGCCATGACCCTCTCAATACCAAATCTCCGTCATCGAAAGGCTGTGTTTCACACGGAGACCCTGAAGACCTTCTACTCCATCCTGGGGTCTCAGGTGGGATTCTGAGGCCCAGAGAGGGGAGGGGTCACTACATTGTCTGGTGACCAGATGAAAGTGAACCAGGTCTGCTGTGAAAAATTCCAGAGCATGTTGCTACTCCTGCTGTCCTTCCCATCCCAGTCCAGGCACAGGAGTGGCAGGACTAGTTCATAGTTGCTAGTTCATAGTAAGAAGTCAGCCCAGCTGGGAACAAGGTTGGTAGTGACACCAGGGCTCGCATCCAGCCAATGGCAAATGGTGCTTGAATGACAGACCACCTTCCAACTTGTCCAGCCTTTTGGGCAGAGCCGTGGACCACTCTGCACCTCCACCTACGTCTGCCTCCAAGCCAGGGGACCGGAAGGTCCTCATCCATGATGCAATGGGACAAAACCCCAGGCCAGGCCCCCAGGGAAGCACTCGCCCACACAGCCTGGCTCCGGGCTGGCAAAGAGCCCCAGGGAGGAGGGCTTGCCAGCCTGGGGCCTGGTGTGCCCCATGCAGCTGCTCCCCCAGGGCTCCCCTCTCCACTCCGATGTCAACAGACACCGAAAACCTGTGTCCAGGTTGGCATCACCCCTTGCCCTCCCTCCCCTAGATCCTGTTCTCCCTCCGCCCTCCTTTTGGATCAAATGCCCTCTCCACCCCCACCCACCCAGGCATCAAATCCAAAAGTCAAGGAACCATCCTGGTTTCTGACGCTCCCCCTCAACCAAGCCATCTGCCATTTCCACCGTTCACCCTCCCCGCGTGCGGATCTGCCCACTCCTCGCCAGCTCCTTTGCCTGGGTGGGGGCAACAGCCCCTCCTTGGCCTCCCACTCTCACTTCCTTCCTGCTCTTCCTTACAGCTGTAAAGCTTTTCCTGTTTACAGCCCCCCACCCCAGGCATCCCCACGGCCCTCGAGCCCCGTGCAGCTGGCTCTGCTCGCTCCCCCTCACGGTTTCCCCATGTCCTCAGTTCTCGGGCACCAAGCATATTCCTACCCCTGGGCCTTTGCACCTGCTGTTCCCGCTCACCACCTCCTCCACCTACAGTGGCTGGCTGTTTTACAGTTTCTCAAGGGGTCCTCCCAGACTGCCCTCATCTAAAATACATGCCGCCTCCCCCACCCCAGCCGCTCCGTAACACATCGCTCGACATTACTACTGTACTGCACGTACTACGAGCTGATTACTGTCCTTCTGTGTTCCCCAGCCCTGCTCAATGATGTTAGCCCCAGGAGGGTCAGCACCTCCTCAAGCTGGTTTCCTGCTTTCTATCCAATGTTTAGATCACTGGCTGGCATAAAACTAACATTTAATAAGTGTTGGTTGAATGAACAAGTGAGTGAACAGCTACGATTCTGTCAGCTCACCATCACCCCCTCAACTCCCTGCCAGCCAGGTTGGGAATGATCCCACTTCTCAGATGAGGGCACTGAGCCGCGGAGAGGTGCTATGTGGGCCTGGTAGCCTACGGCAGCAAAGCAGCAGCAAGGCCGCCTGGTGCTAGGCCAGCACTGCTTCCCAGGTGGCGCCTGGGACTCGCCTCCAGCCAGACCAGGGAAGGGACCAGGATTAGGGAGTAAGAACCCATGGAAAAGTCATGAAATTGGGTGGCTCCAATATTTCTGTTGCAACTTGAAATGCTGCCTCTTTGAAAACCACATCCTGTCCCCCCTCAGCTCCTGGCCCTGGGCAGCCTTGCTGAGACCCCCACACACACCCATTTCTTTCTCTCCCTGGATCCTGGAATTCACTGGCCCAGCCCTGAGGCTGATGGAGCAGAGGGCGGGGCAAAGGAGGCCTTCTCTCCCGGGTGGGGCAGAAGGAGGGGGCTGAGCCAGATTCAGGTCACGCTGCTGCGCCCACAGCCCTCTGAAGGCTAAAAATAACCGTGTTTATACACTTCCAGAGCCGGGATTTCTGCCTCCCTGTGAGAGGGGCTACAGGCTGCGTTCCCCACTGCACGCCTTCTGCTCCAACTGGGCGAGGCCTGGTCCAACAGGCTGGGACCTGGCTTTCTGGGTTTGTTCCCTTGGGTTGTTTGTAGGTGGAGGGAGGTGAGGAAAAGCTGAACAAGCTGGTGACTCCAGATGGGAAGAGCTTATTGCTAGGGGACAGCTCTTCCTCCTTGAGAGCAGGAGCCAGAGTTACAGAGAAGGTGGAGAGATCCTGACCCACGTGAGGTCCCTGGTGCCATGGGGAGGCTGGGAGCTGGTCGGAGGTCCCACTTGCCGTGTGACCTGGAGCTGGCCACTCCTGCTCTATCTGGTCCTCAGCTGCCTCCCTGCATTGTGGCAGCTGATGGTAATTGACAGCTGCTCCTCACATCACATCCTCAGAGAGGGGAGGGACAACGGTGGAATCTCAGTGTGTGTGTTTATGGTCGGGGACAGTGTGAGAAACAGCTCCAGCCCCTGAGGCCCCACGGCTGTCTTCATGGCAGATGATGGAACGCACCTGCCAGGACGGCCGTCACCTGGCCACCCGCCTCCCTCCCTCCCTGCCCTGGTTCACCCAGATGGAGGCAGGTGCCAGTTGCCTACCTAGAGACTACCCCTCCCTCTGCACAAGTAGGCCCTCCCCTGACCCCACGGGTCCTGTGAACGTGGCCGTGCCAATAAGATACACCAAGGCCACCAGACATCCACTGGGCCAAGGACCTCACACATTCCAGGATCCAGTAGCCCTGGCCTTTCTTCTCTGACTTGAGAGAAGAAAGCCTGGCTGACTTGCTGCCCCTAGACAGGAACAAAGTCCATCCCTGCTGGCCTGGCTTCAAGAGCTGTGCCCCTCTGACAGCATCCCCCCAGCACTCTGAGCCTTTGCATATGCTGTTCCCTCTGCCTCAGATGTTTTTCCCTCACTTCCAGACTAGGAACTTCCCCCTCATCCTAGAGGACTTACTCAGTTGCCCCCTTCACCAGCACAGTGAGCTCAGCCCTTTGCCTGTGCTGAGAACCCCTTCCATTAGACAATCAGTAGCATCCCCAGTGCCAAGATCTTGCCTTCCTCACACCTACTGCAAAGAGCTTCAACTGTATGCTGAATTACTCATCAAGGGGAGAGCTTGGTCCTCCTCTCTCCTTGCTGCAGCCAAGTCCACACCCTGCAGCCCCTCTGTGGACCCCTTCAAGATTCGGCAGTCTGCAATCAGCTCCACCCTCTTCCTTCAAAGGCTCCTGTTCTCTAGGGACCCGACCTTTGTGCTCCTCATCAGACCTGCAGTTTTCAGCCAGGTTTCTAAATGCACCTGGCCCAGCTGTGCTGGGGTGAGAACAGCATCTGCACGTTTAGCAGGCACCCAGGGATGCTGTGTGCAAAAGCCCTGAGGGCCAAGGGCACCCTCACGGCACTTGGAAATCACTCCCTTCAGATACCACAGCACCCAGTGCCCCCGATGACCACCATCCTCACCCCCTACCAGCCACATGATATCTGCAGCACTGTTTGGCCCATACCCAGGCCCCTGCCAGCAATGAGCCTCATGCCCTCTCTCCTGGAACGCAGCAGGGATCATGGGACCCCTGTGAGAACATCCTCCAAGCAGCCACTGCAGCTACTGGTCTGCAAATCAGATCTGAGGACAGCACTCTTCACCCCACAATGTTTCCTTGTTGACCCTGAGTCAAGGATAAACTCCATTCGGCATTCAAGGCCCTCTGGGATGTGATCAGGCCCCCACTGAGCTCCCAGGCTTTGCCTCCCACCCACCCAGGCCTGATAACCTCACCTGCCCTCTTTTTTTTTTTTTTTTTTCAGAGATGGTGTCTATGTTGCCCAGGATGTTCTTGAATTCCTGGGCTCTAGCAATTCTCCCACCTTGACCTCCCAAAGTGCTGGATTACAGGCATAAGCCACCATGCCCAGCCCTCACCTGCCTCTTTCTGCTGAGCATTCCCCAACTCATCCTTTGGGCTGAAGCACAAAGGCCACCTCCTCTGGGAGGCCCTCCTTGAATGCCCTCCCCTAGTAGGCTGACCTGAACCTGTCCCCCTGGGGCTCCCCTCAGCAGGGCTCTTGTTCACAGCCACCAGCCCCTCATGCTACAGGTAGTACATGCCCAGTCTTGTTCCCTAGTGAGGCTCTAAACTCCTGGGGTTGGGCCAGGACCAGTCATCCAGGGCCTAGCATTCAACAAGAGATGTGCTCTGAGCATCAGGGTGTGTGGTCCATTACACCCCAGGTCAGGTGGGCATGAGGACCTGCACTGTGGTGATAAGTGACATTCAGAGTGGCTGGAGACTTGTTCGGGTCATACAAGCAGTAGTGATGGGAACCACACCGGTTAGGACCATGTCAGCACCGTGCTCCTACCTGCCCCCATAACCAGGACCTCCAGGTGGTAAAAAGAAGACCTACCTGCTTTTTCAAATGCACCTGTAGCTCCTCTCAATGCTTCACCCAGCCCCCGCTCCTCTGGCAGGAAGGGACACTTCCTCCAAGCCCAAGTCACAGGGGGTTTATGGAGAGATGCTTCCCAGGCACATCACCTGGGAAATGCAGGACCAGCTATCCTCCACCACCCAACAAGTGCAGGGACTTGGGCTCCACACTGGGACGTCCCAAGCAGGGCATGGAGGCTCAGGGAGGTTTGAAGGGAGCCGGGGAGGGGATGGGGGCAGACCTGGGCCCAGAGGCCACCGCTCCCTGTTCCCAGTGCAGCACAGGCCCCTCTGTCTTCCACACGCCAGTCTAACAAGATTGCTTCTTCTTTCCTGAGGCCCTGGGGGGCCTTGCAACCCACCTTTTTTAAAGGCAAACACAGATGCAGAACCAGCCAGGAGTACATCCTGGTGTTGTGTGGAGCCATGGGGAGGGGGAAGGACCTTTTCAAAGGCAGCCTGGGGAAGGGCCAGGAGCACCCCTGCTCATGGGAGCATGGGGTCCCTGTGCCCAGGGCACTCTCAAGGAGCGCTGGTATCCAGCACCAGCACACCGACTCCCGGGGCCTCACGGTGGGTCCCCAGCAGGTGCACCACAGTGATAGCTGCATCAGAATGTGCGCACACCCAAGTCACCCCCACAGCCTAGGGACCCTCCGCTCTGGTTTGCAGACACTGTGGTGCTCTAGGGTGGGTGGGTGTCGAGGAGGGGGTGCAGGCCTTGCTGGGTCTCAGGACCTGCTCTCAAGCAGATGAGCTGGGAACATTGAAATTCTGACTCACTTCTGGAATCTGCCGCCAACATGGTTCCCATTTGGCTCCTCTGCTACTCAAAGCCACTTCCAGCCTCCAGGGGCCAATGCAGACGTCTGCACCACAGTCAAGTCCCCAGTCTCAGAAGTTCTCCAGCTCCAGAGGGCTACTGACAAATGAAGCCTGAGCTGACTCACTGCCCACCCAATCTCCTTGCTAATGACGGTGACCTCACAGGCCTGTCCTCGGTAGGGTGCTGGGCCCCCAGCCGCATGCCACCTCCTCCACCTGGGCACCCAAGGCCCACGCTTCTCAACCGCAGCCTCAGCAGCAGCTTAGAGACGCAGGTTTTGAGATCACCTGCACTCAAATCTCAGTTCTGCTTCTGGGCGGCTGTATGAGTGCGGATGCCCCACTTCAACTCTCTGAATCTCACTGTATGGCTTTCAGGTGACTGGTGGGTTCACTGAGCTCATTATGCAAAAGTAATGCCAATTACTTATCAGGTGCTTGCAATGGACCAGGCACTCATACAAGTATTAATTCATTTATGCTCGCTAGAGTCCTTCGAGATAGGTGGTCAACTATCACCACCTCCATTTTACAGGTGAGGAAACTGAGGCACAGAGCGGTCGAGTCACTTCCCTGAGGTTGCCCAGCTGCTAAGTGTGGGAGCTAGGATTCGGAGCCTGCCTGTCTAGCTCCAGAGTGCTTGTGCTAACCACCACACTACACTGCCTCCAGGCAGCTTCTGCCTTCTCTCCAATGCCGCTGGGGCCTGGCCTGGCCAAAGTCCTCACTCCCGCATAAACTCCAGGATTCATCATGCTTCAGGGCCTGGGCCCACAGAGCTCCCCAGTCTAATAGTCTCTTCTCCTAGTCTACCTGGCAAGACACTTCCAGGCTAGCTCACACACTGCTTCCATTTTCTCCTGACCCTTAGGTAGGAATGATCATTTGACCATTCCCCACAACCCCAAGCCCCAGACTTCCATCAAGTCCTCCAGAGCCTCCAAAGGCCTCCGAGGGCCCAGTGGCATCTTGAATCCAACAGGGACTCAATCAATGCTTGGAGAGTGCCTGAGTGATCCACAGAGTCAAGTCCAAAGGCTTTGCCCGTCTACGTCTGCCTGAGAAGCCCCTGGTAATGAAGCTGCACAGAAGGGCACCAGTGCTGCTGAGGCCTCTCCAGGAACTCCTCTTCCTCACACTGTTGGGTGGGGGGGTGCAGTTAGCATCCAAGCAGCCCACAGAGAGGTGCCATGAAGACCACATATGCTGTGAGCACAAAAGCCCAAAGTGACAGAAATTGATAAAAACTTCACTGCGCCACTGACACCCCATATATCAAAGGCCCCAAATCTCATTCTCTGCTTGCCTCCAATTTCTATCAGAGCTTGCCAGCTGCACATTTATTGAGAAGTTTGTGATCTGACAGGCACTGTATTACCAACATTAATGATGCATCAGTCTCTAGAATTACTGGGGAAACAGTCCAATTGATTTTATTATTATCTCGAGTTCGTCACATTGCATTCCAGGCAGCTTGCTACTAGTTTTGAGCAAGGCCCAAAGTAAATAAACAAAGGTTGCAGGGCCAGGGCTGACCCTAGGCGGAAGAACCTGGGCTTGTCCGGGGACCCCTGGTGACAGCCCTTGCACCCCTCAGCCTCCTCTGCCCTCTATGACAGCAGGATGGTCACTGAAATAGCAGGTGATATTCAGTGGCAGACAGCCAAGCCAGGGGACCAGTTAAGGGCTCAGGCCAGGCCTCCCTTCATGCTGCAAAGATGGAGGTGGCCGGTGGGAGGCAGAAATAGCCAGTGATGTCATGTGTCATGTGCCTCTTGGCTGAGGCAGGGAGCCAGCACCATGTGGGACCCCCCAGCAGATACAGGCATGTCCACACCTGAGCCCATGCCCACAGCAGGCTGGCAGCACTGCTGGCGACCCGGGGGCAAGTGGAGCTGGAAGATATGCATGGTGCCCACCGTGTTTCAGCTGCTCTGCCCCTGCCGGTCATCCCCGAGCCACATGGGACCCCTCTCTGTCTCTAGCCTTTGCACACGCTGTTTCCTCTGCCTGTGTGCTCTCTTTTCCCACCCCATCATCTCACGGCCCTCCTCAGAAAGGCCTTCCTGTCTCAAGGCCCCCACACTCACCTCTGGGTGGTTTTCTATTCAGCACCCTGTTTGTTTCTTTCTTGGTGCTTATCATAATTTATAAAGGTGTCCTTGATTGTGATTGTCTTGTTTACCTGGTTTCTCTCTTTGGCTCCCAGCAGACAGGGATCTTATCTGTTCTGGCCATTGTCCTATTCCCAGAGCCTAGCAGGGGGCTGGCACCCAGCAGGCCCCCACATCCAGGTCTGAAAGCAGGCATTGACTGAAGGAGCCAGTCTCTATCAACCCCTCAAGGCAGCGTTTCGGGTCAAGAAGCACTCAAGAAAACGGCCAATGGTTTCAGAGCCCTTCCCACCCCTCACCTCCACGTGCTGGAGGTTCTTTGAAGCCGTCTCATTTCTTTTCTTTTCTTTTCTTTTCTTTTGAGACGGAGTCTCACTCTGTCGCCCAGGCTGGAGTGCAGTGGCGCAATCTCGGCTCACTGCAAGCTCCGCCTCCCGGGTTCACGCCATTCTCCTGCCTCAGCCTCCCTAGTAGCTGGGACCACAGGTGCCCACCACCACACCTGGCTAATTTTTTTGTATTTTTTAGTAGAGACAGGGTTTCACCGTGTTAGCCAGGATGGTCTCGATCTCCTGACCTTGTGATCCGCCTGTCTCGGCCTCCCAAAGTGCTGGTATTACAGGCGTGAGCCACCGTGCCCAGCCTAGACATCTCATTTCTAACTCCTTGTGCAAACATTTGTCCTTCTGGGCTCATCTCCTCCCCCTCTCCTCCAGACCCACCCTCTACATTCAGCTTCCTTTCTCCAGCAACCTTCAGAGGCAGCAAGGCTGGTGGAAGCTGAGGACCTGTGTCAGGCCAGGAGCCAGGTCCAAATCCCAGCCCCGCAACTGAAGCAAAGCATGTAACTGTCCTAAGTTCTGCTCAATTACCTCCCCTATAAAACAGAGGGGAGAGGCCTGTGGCCCCACCTGCCTCACGGGGATCTGCAGGTTCAGCAACAGAGGAGACATCCCTAGATGGCCACACGTAGTACACACAAGGTGCCTTTAGCGCTGCTGTCTGCTGGTGCTTCAAACTGACCACCAGGACACAGATGCAGGGACCCCAGCAGCCCCAAGATGTGGATCTGAGAAAGGCTTAGAACAATGAAGTCTGGCCTCTGAGGAAGAAATTGATTGCACCCTGAAGATTAACCGGGAGCCACACGGGGTGCGGGGGTCTGCACGATGTGTCCAGATGAACAGGTACCGAGGGGCCTCCTCACGGTAGCCTTTGTTAGGTGCGTTCCAAGCCCAAGGTAATAGATCAGGCGCCTGGAGAAGATGGGAAGCAGCATAGATCTGCACTCAGAGCAGTCAGGTAAGAAGGATGAGGCCTCCCTTACCTAACCGGAGAGACCTGCCTGACACCCGGAAAGGCCGCATGGCCAGGTGAGAACTGGTTAGGTCAGGAGAATGGGGTTGGCTCTGCACAAGGGTTATTGCCAAAAAGCAAAGGGGTAAAGAAGTGGGCCTGGAAGGGGCGGTCTTCTAACTATCGGTATCATGGTTATTGTTTTTTATAACAGTACTATTGAAATTAAATCAGGAAAATATTTGACTTGATAGCGTTCTGCCCTCAAAACAGATGTTTTTCCCTTGAAATGTATGTTATAGACATGACTGATTTATGAGCATTCACCATGTGGCCAGCCCTATGCTGAGCACTAAGTGTACATGAGCATATTTTGTCTTTCCAACAACCTTAATCGTTCCCACTTTCTACCCATGAAAACTGAGGTCCTGAGAGGAAGTCAAATGCCCAAGGTCCCACAAGTGGAAGACACAGGATATGAACCTAGGCTGGTCTGAGAGTCAGAGCTCCTGTAGCCAGCTGGGCAGGGACAGCCCTCTCTGGTCCAAGGGCCCCAGGCCTCTGATCAGCATCCAGCGCCACTGCTTGCTTGCTTTCTCTCTCTCTCTTTTTTTTTTTTTTTCCAGGAGGGGCAGGGTCTTGCTCTGTCACACAGGCTGGACTGCAGTGGCGCAACTGTGGCTCACTACAGCCTCGACCTCCTGGGCTCAAGCAATCTTCTCATCTCAGCCTCCCCAGTAGCTGGGACTAAAGGTGCACACCACCATGCTCAGCTAGTTTTTGTATTTCTGGTAAAGACAGGGTTTCACTGTGTTGCCCAGGCTAGTCTCGAACTCCTGAGCTCAAGCGATCCGCTCACCTTGGCCTCCCAAAGTGCAGGGATTAGAGGCGTGAGCCACTGTGCACCTGGCCTAGCCCCATTGCTTTCTGAAGAAGACAGTGATGCCCAGCGAGGCCTTGGTCTTGTCCAAAATCACTCTGTCATCCCACAGCAGGGCAGGGACAACGGACAGATACATCTACTGTTGACTTCATCTCACTTCATTCTCAAAATAACCTGGGAAGTAAGCAGTACCCATTTCATGGCCAAGGAATCTGGCTCTAGAAAGCCAAAGTAACCGACAGTGGCAGTGTGCGAGAAGGTTTGAACCCAGGCCGCTGAGCTCTGCAGACTGTCTGGCAGCCTCTATGCAATGACCCCAGTTTCCTGAGATCTGGCTCTGGCTCCAGCTCCCTCCGGGTTGCAGGGAGAGCAGAGGCCGCCTTGGCCCCAGCGTTCGTGGCCTTCTGAGTCGCCCGTGGGCTCTGCACCTGGCATGCAATGCCAGCAGCCTCGGTAAACAGGCCCGGCTGCAGCCGGACTCACCCGGCTCGCTTGTGCCGAGGAAGCCAGGTCGGAGGAAGGGTTCCTTGGCATTTCCAGCAGCAGCGCTCTCTTACTCAATTAGGCCCTTTCTGTCCAAAGGGCAGCTGTGACGTGTGGAACAGGTCTGTGGTGTCAATATGAACCCAGCATTGTACAGCTGGGGACATACAATGCCCTCGGTCGACTGTTTATTTATAAATCCACCCAGTGCTCACTGCGGCCTTTACACTCAGCTCTTTCCCAAAATGCAAATTGGCTTCTTCCTGTAAGTCAAACCGACTTGCTCGAGCTGATAAAAATCATCCCAAACGGGCTCTTTTATCTCCCCAATACACAAAGTCCTCTGCACCCACACCTCCTAGAAAGAGGAAGACTGTCTGTCTGCAGAGTGCTTGCGGCAGGGATGGCCCAGAGAGAGGCCCTGAAGAGGCACGCAAGGGCATGGGAGGGTGTGCATAGGGTAGTGGGAGCCAGGATCTAAACTCACAGGCCTGCATTCAAATCCTGCCTAAAACGCCTTCTGGCTCTGTGGCCCTAATCACTCTGAGCACATCACGTACGCATGTGTGTAAAACTGGGATACAGGCCAGGCGTGGTGGCTCACACCTCTCATCCTAGCACTTTGGGAGGCCAAAGTGGGTGGATCACTTGAGGTCAGGAGTTCAAGACCAGCCTGGCCAACATGGTGAAACCCCATCTCTACTAAAAATACAAAAATTACCCAGGCATGGTGGCAGGCGCCTGTAATCCCAGTTACTCGGGAGGCTGAGGCCGGAGAATCGCTTGAACCCAGGAGGCAGGATTGCAGTGAGCTGAGATCACGCTACTGCACTCCAGCCTGGGCAACAGAGTGAGACTCTGTCTCAAAATAAATAAATAAATAAATAAATAAATAAATAAATAAATAAATAAATAAATAAAATAAAACTGGGGTACAGCAGTCCTTCCCGCGTAGGGTTCTTCAGAACAGTAAATGAGATAATGCACATAAACTGCATGGCACAGTGCAGAGAACCTAAAGCATCCCCTGAATATGTGTGTGTGTGTGTGTGTGTGTGTGTGTGTGTGTGTGTGTTGGGGGTGGGGGGGGTGGTAGAAAGAATAATAATTATCTGAAGCTTGGACCTGCCACTCATTCATTCTCTTGCTGGGTACTCTCTGTACCTCAGTTTCCCCCACTGCTCTTTGAACCCCCAGGAACCTCTCTCCTACTGGCTGGTAGCTCAGCCCCTCAACTGCTTGCATTGTATTCAAACGGCTTTGGGGGTGCTGCTTCCGGTACTGTCTCCTCACTATCTCAAGGGCTCTATTATCAGAAAATCAAAATCTGTTCCAAAAGAAAAAAAACAAAATACACCCATCTTACAGAAAAGCGAGCTACCTGACCACCCCTCTGCCAGCTGGTGTCCAGATTTCAAAGAGCCACGAGCATCACTTAAAGGCACATGCCTTGTGCAAGGCTTGCTGGGAGATATCAGGGATCTGATATGGGTTTGTAACCAAGTAGACTAATCAGGGGCCTCCAGGAGTGGGCAGGAAGTGCAAAGAAATGTCAAATGGGCCTAGAAGTCACCAGAGACCAAGAAGCGTACACAGAAACCTCTTGGCCGAGGTTCCAAGGCTTATAAGGAGGTGTTGCGATGCTACTGTGACAACAGGTATGGGGCTCTGCCCACAGGGGGACACCCCTAGCCGCAGCCCAAGCCTGGGTCTCCTAGCACAACAACAGCCACACTGCGTGCAGCGAGGCTTAGGTTATCAGCACGGATCCATTTATGGAGGAGAACGCCAAGGCCTGGAAGAGGGAGGTGACTGACCCAAGATCACATGGCTTGTTGGTAATGAAACCCAGGTCCTAGGGTCACCCCCAATCTGGAGAACAGAGGGAAGCCAGCAGCCATGAAATGGCCATGCCATGGCAGCCACCAGTTTTCCAGAAGGGGATGAGAACAGGCAATGTCAGTTCACAAAGAACTTCCCCTCCCTGTGTCTCCAGCACTCCTCACAGCAGCAGGCAGACAGGCTGGGTGGAGTTGCAGAATCTCCCCATTTTGCAGGTTGAGGACAGAGGCACAGGAGTAGCCAGACCAAGCCTGCACCCAGATCTTCAGAAGCCCCAGCTGCTGCTGCCACCTCCTCTCCCACTCAGCATGGAGCGGGGCTGGTGGGAACAGCACCAGCCCCTAAGCCCTGCCCCATCCCACCCAGTACAGGGAGCCTGGTTGGTCCTGAAGTACACCTCAGGGACTCCACTCACCTGCCTAATTAATAGGCTCAGGTCTCCTCCAACCCAGGTGGCTCCCTGTCACTAAATCTCCTAAAACACTGCTCTGTCCTCACCCAGTCTGTCACACACCTCTCCCTCCCCACTTCTAGAATAAGTGTTCCCTCCTAACCCTGGCTTCCTTCTGGGGTCCCAGCCATCCCTAGAAACTTGGCCTCTGTTCTTCCCCTAAAGTCCATGGGTGCTGGCTGAGCTGCCCCAGCACCCCCACAGGCACACCTCCCTTCCTTTGGTCATGCCGGTTCCACCGCCCAGAAGTACCTTTCCTCCCGCTCCTTGCCTTGTTCTAGCTAAAGCCTCTCCATCCTCAGTGCAGCCCTTAAATGCCCCCTCCTCCAGGAGGCCCCTCCCCACCGACCACTCTAGCTCATTCTCATCTCACTCCTTGGAACTTATTAGCCGATTTCTCTGAAGCTTTCAGTACTCCTTGCAGCTATTCTGCTGAGTAGCCAAGGTTGTTTCCAATGCAGACTGTGAAACTCCTTGAGGTCAGGGTCTGAGGACTCTTGTTTGGCCATCCTTCTAATGGAGAAATATTGCCTTAGCCTGTGCCGTTATGGCCCCCGTGCTAGGGGATAAGAGACAAGGCTCTGGCTTTGCAGAACAGCTCGAGTCTAGAAATAGGCCAATAAATAGGCAGTTGCCCACATAAATACATATACCTACTTATGTACTCACAAAATTTTAAAATTTTAAGTTAAAAAAAAGAGGCAGCTGCCATTGCACATCATGGTGGCTTGAACAGGGAAAGCAAAGAGGGCTGTGGAAATGAATGTCACCCAGTCCAGCTTCCCCAAAGCACAGGACCCTCCCCTAGAAGATGCTGGAGAAGGTCTCTTGGTAGACTGAAATTGCTGCAAGAGATTAATTCATCTGGGCTCAAGACAGCAGAGGTCTAGGTGGGGAGTGGTGGAAGCAGGACAGGTGAGTGTGAGCCCCCCAAGGCGGGGCCCTCTATTGGCACAGACGGGCAGAGGACAGCCCTGGAACCCCAGCAATAGGGAGGAAGCCCTTGACCTGGCGATGAGGCCAGTGTATCCCGATGGAAAAGGCAGCAAGACCTAAGGCTGTCAAACCCGGCATGGCCCAGCTGGGCAGTCTGGCCCTGGGCACATACATCCCTGGCTTCTCAAAGTGGGCACCCCCCAAACCTCAGCTCCCACAATGCACATCAGCCTTGTGGGTGAGCATCTTTTCACTCTGGTTTTGTGAGCAGGCTGCTCCAGATGGACCCGTGAAAGGAAACGCACCGCTGCACACTGCTGGCTCTTGGCCTAGTAGTCCCAGCCACTATCTGCAACTCTCAACATCTCAGCACATGGCTTCATTGTTCTTGCACCTCAAAGCCTTCTCTGGAGAAGGACACAGATTTCTGGAGAAATAAATAAACGGGATCCCACATGCCAGTAGGGTGACTGTGACCACATTCCCACCTCCAGCTTCCTGTCACCAGTCCCCTACCCCACCAGCCCCACACCCTGAGAGGGGGCAGAAGGTCCTTCTCTCCCTCCAAGTATGTCTCCTCTTCCAAACGGGGTCTCCTTGTGGGTCTTGAGCAATCTTGCCACAGCCACAGGGGGCCTCCAGGTCCCCATGGGGGATGAGAAAAAAAACCCTCCAAGTCCCATGCCCAGGCTCGGTTGCTTTCAGCAACTTCCCTCCCCACTGCTCAGGGGCACCACAAAACACTAAGCACCCCAGGCACTGCACCTGGGAGTCCCTCCCTCTCCAGGGATTGTTTTCCCACCTGTAAAATGGGGCAGCTAAACTCAATGACAGCAAGCTGTCTCCTGGGTCCCCACTTACATTCTAACTGAGCCTTAAGACACAGCAGTAGGGTCATTCAGAAGGGAGGTGAGGGAAAGAAGGCAGGATGAGGGAGAGGTGGGGTTGTCCCTGGTTGCAGAAGCCTTAAAAGCTGGTAAAAGGCTTAATCCTGCATAATGATTTACAAAGTGACAAGTAAAATAGATTTACCGTGACAGCTTGAAAGGAGAGCCACAGAAATAAAATTACACTCCGGCGCATCCCGTCTCTCTACAACCTGTCCCCTCCCTTCCGAAAGCCAGGAGCTTGTAAGGGCACACATGGACATGTGCCTGGGTAAAAAGGGAGCAGGTGGCCTGAGGGGTAGGGGGTGGGGGTCTGGGGAGTGGGAGAGGGACAAAGGAGGTGGTAGGACTGGCCCTGCCCAGGAAGGCTGTCCCAGGTGCGGCCAATAGGGTCTTGCTCATGCTCACGGAGGTGGTGATCTCAGTGGCCCTCGGAACTGACACATCCTCCCTGGGATTTTGTCTTCAGGGAGCATGCAGCAGGCACCTCAAGTGCTCCCTGCACCCAGAACCCCTAATTTCTACCTGACTCCTCTGATCCAACACAGCAGTCCCAGTACCCCTCCGGGTTTTCAGGGCCCAGGGAGAGGGGTCCAGTGCTTCTGTCGGAAGGAGGCAAAGACTTCAATTGTACCAGACCAAAACCAAACTAGAGCAAACCGGAGAAGGCACAAAACACCCTGAGCTGAGTTCATCTCGTAGAAGGAAAGTGAGCCGGATGGATGGGGAGCACCTCGTGTTGTTGATGCCACTCTTCCACAATTTGTGTTTGCACAAGAGCCAAGGGCTTTTTCCTTCACTGATGTGGGGCCCACTTGGCTCCATCTGGGTGGGGAGAAGGATCTGACATGCGGAGGCTCCGGCCGTGGACCACGGAGAACCTCTCCTCCATGGGAATGAACCCCACCAGTTGCTTCGGGCTCTGAGGCTACGTGTCCACCTCCCCAAGTGTGGCACCAGCCCAGGTACCTGCTCAGCGCTGTCCTGTCGGAGGGGCAGGGGCAGACAACCATGTCCACAGGATACTCGTTTGTACAAACAGCCACGGACCAGAAAAGAAAAATCAAGCTGTGGCCTCACGTAGGGAGTAGAAGACCTGATTCCCTGAGCAGCTGTGGAGGCTGAACAAGTTCAGCACTCTGAACTCCAGCTTCCTCCTCTGCAAAATGGGATAATACCACCCACTTCAGAGGGGTGCTGCGACAGTCTCCAGACCCCAAAGTACCATGCCTGGTGCAGGAAGGATGTTCCCAAGGATGTGAGCTTTGCCTGGGGGAGCAAGGACTGAAATGCATTTGCAGTGGGGACCGCTAAATGGAAGCTCTGGTCTCAGACCTGGCTTAGGAAACGCACCTGCTCACAGCCCACCCACCTTCCCCAAGTCCCAGAAAGCAGCCAGCATTGCAGCAGATAAAAGATCTCAGAGTCGGAACAGTAGTCCTGGCCCAGGGACCCCTAAGCCTCCTTGCAGCCTCTGCTTAAAGCCTGTAGGGGCCGAGTCCCAGGGAAGGTTGGTGAAGGTTCCCATGTGTCCCTCTCTGTCACCCTCTCACTGGCAACTCCCGGCTCGACAAAATGCTGTCCTGCACCTTTAACCGAAAGAACCCAGGGCCGTGCCTAGGCAGGCCTGAACACCCATGTTTACCCAGCAGAAGGGTGGCCCTCCCCCAGCACCATGGCAAGCTGGAGCTCATTTGCCCACAGACTCGCCTGGTGCACAGGCAGTGCATATGAGGCCCCAGCCCCTGGCCCTGCCCAGGGAGTTTTGCCCAAGAAGCCTTGTGGCCTGGCCCAGGCTGCTGTTGCCGAGCCAATTCTCCCAGGAAGCCAAGCCTGGGCAGCGGCAATGCAGGCACAGCAAGCTCACAGGTATCCTCAGACCCAGTAGCTTTGGGCAAAACAACCTGACCCACAAAGCGCTCCTGGGAGCCTGGCATGGCCCAGCCATCTCTCTGGCTTTGGCTGGCAGGGGAAAGGGCAAAAGAAGGGGCCAGGGGTCAGACCATGCACATGGTCCACATCACAAAGCCGACCAGCTCTGGGAAAGGGTAGCCACCATGTGTTATTCAACTTGCAGGGAGCGCACTGGAATGTTTGCTAGATCCAAGCTGGTGCTGCTGGGTGACAGGGAGCCAGAGCCTGGTGGTGGCTGTGGTATTCTAAAGGTAGCTGCGATCCTGCCAAGCAAGGGCTGCAACACTGGTCAGGAAACAGTGCCTGGGGAACCGGGGCAAGGGGAGGACCAATCCGCTTGACCTAGCTGGTGCATGAGGGCAAGCTGAGGCTTGGGCAGAGTTTGCAGGATGCCTAGGAGTTCTCCAGGCAGACAGAGCAGAGAGGAACACAACGTGCAAAGCACACACAAGTGAAAGTTCATCTGGGGCCAGAGAATGAAGGGCACTGAATTTCAGATTGTAGATCGTAGAGAGGCACGAAGGAGTTTTAAGTAGAGTGGAAGAGGTGATAGATCAGGGGTGCCTTTTATTCAGGTTCACACTGGTAGCCAAGTGAAGGGGCGATGGAAAAGGGGAAGCTGGAGGTAGACACCTGAGGGAGAAGGTTGCTGCCTGGGGATGTAGACAGGAGAGGTGGCTGGAGAAACATCCAGAAGGTGGAGTCCAAAGACATCAGTTCCCTGACTACATACTCCCATAAGCCATGCTCTGGGCAGGGGAATGGGGACATGGACACCCAATGTCACGGGGTACAGCCCTGGGGAAGGAGTCAAAATGACTTCCCAATTTCAGCCAGGACCATGGGACAATGTCAGCCTACTCCTAATCCAAGGTGGCTTTATGAGAATTAGAACCAGGCTCCCCTTCCTCCAACACTTTACCATCACCTGCCAAAAAATCATCTAATACATGTATAATGTGAGGGGACTAAAATGTGAGTACCACCCCCAACTTGTGCAGTGCGCAACATGCGCTACCACACACAGCTGTCCTAGGAGACACAATGCCAGTGAACAAGCAATGGGAAGGTGGAGGGTTAGAGGCCTGGGGTTAAGGCAGGTAGGAAAGGCAGATAAAATCTAGTCTAACACACTAAGAAGTTAAAAACACTTAACAAAACAAAGAACAACCAAAGCAGTGTTTACTAACCCTCCCTGCCTTTTTGGCATGAGAAATTCAAATAAAAGGAGAGGCAGAATTATTTGCTATATGGAGTCCAAAAGAGAAAAAAATAGTTGCACAGACCAGGTAAATAAAAGAAATGCAAAAATGCAATTCAGGAAACCCTAGTTTTAAAAGAAAGAGATTGGCCAAAGGTATAGAGAATCAGTCCTGGACACAGAGCTTCCAAAAAGATTATCTTTAAAAAAAATAAAAATAAAAAAATAAAAAATAAATAACAAAAGATCCTACCAGCCTAGGTAACAAAGCAAGACCTCGTCTTTACAAAAAAAATTTTTTTCAATTAGCCGGGGTGATGGCTCGTGCCGGTAGTCCCAGCAGGAGGCAGAGGTGGGAGGATCGCTTGAGTCCAGGAGTTCGAGACTGCAGTAAGCCATGATCACACCACTGTACTCCAGCCTGGGTGACAGACTGAGACCCAGTTTCTACAAAATAAAATGAAGTAATAAAAATAAAAAGGATTCTATATGCTGAACAAGCAAACATAGCTGAGTAAAATCTGAGAAAAATGGGCTTTCTGGCCAACTGAACTATCTGGATACCTGAGGGCTTTCACTTGATCATTCAAGAACTCATCAGGCTTTACTGGGCACCTTCTCTGCTCCAGGTCTTGTCTGACCTAGCTGGTACCGGGAGGAGGAGAAGGCTGAGGGCTGAGGGAGTCCAGAGGAGAATGCCTAGGAGGTCCCTGGGAGGAGGTAATGACAAAGTTTGCCAGGTAAGGAGGGGCGGGGAGACGCATTCTGTCACTGTCCACACGGTGAAGTGCAAATCCCCGTCAACCATGGCAAGGCCCTTTCTTAACAGAAGTGAGAATTTTGTGAGTTGAGGTGAGACCCACATTACATCCTGGGGGTCTGGAGTAGGGAGCCTCACCTATCCTGGAGGTAAAAATGCTCCAGTAGACTCCAAAGGAGAGTCCCAGCTAGAAGGGGCCTCAATGCACAGAGGGCAGAGAGACAAGGACTCGTCAGGGTCAGGAAGCTGATGAGTGGCAGAGATGGGCAGTGGGTATCCTCTCCCTTACCAGGGCCCTTCCAGTGCCCGGTGCTGCCCCAGGGGTTTCATCCAACTCCAACCCTAGAAAGCCAGGGAGCAGTGGTAGGCGGGAAAGGCACGTTGTGATGGCCACTCAGGTCCCTGGCCACTGGGCACAGCTCAGAAACAGAGGGAGAGGCACTTCTCATTCCCAGAATAAGAGTCTCATTCTGAAAAGGTTTGGGCTTTTGCTTCCTGAAAAAGAGGTTCTCAGGGGCATCTCTTGGGCTGAAGCCTGTTGCCTGCTGCTGGTAATCCTAACAAGCGTGTTTATTGGGCTCTGGAGATCACAAGCTGCCTTCCTCTGTCTCCCCTCCTGGTGGCCATGGGAGGCGGGCACCCTCTGCCCATTTTTCAGATGAGGAGGCAGGCCCAGAGAGCCATGGAAGGCCTCTCATCCCAGGTCACTCTTTCTGGGTCTGGTGCAGGCCAGACGGCACCTGAGTGCCAGGCAGGAGTCAGGGTGGGGCGTTATGCGGGCTGAGGCCTCTGCCCACTCTGCCCAATGGCATGTGCAAATGGCAGGTGGGAACTCAACTGCGGGCCTGGCGTCACGCTGGGCATGTTGGCCCCTTGACCCCCACCCCCAGCTTGAGGAGGCTACATCCGAGCCCTGGTGACTGGTGCTGAGCCCCCAGAACCAGCCTGCCCAGGTGCTGCAGGGTTGCAGAGGAGGGTGCCAGCAGCCAGGCTGTGGTTTTGTGCTTGGCTAACTCTTGGCTTCTGAGCAATGAAGTGGAGAGAGAAGAGACACAGTAAGAACATGGTGCCCACCCACTCAGCCCTGCCACCACAGGCAGCAGGCAGCCTCTGGGGCCACCACAGGACCTGTGGCCCTCAGAGCACAGGCCGGGATCTACATGGCACGGCACCAGAATGCGGAGCGGGCAGCGTCCGGCAGAGCCAAGGGCCCCTGGCAAGCACTAGCTCCTGCCACCTTCAAGGTGAAGAAAGGAGACCCAGGGGCCTGTGCAGGTTCAGGCCAGAGTGAGCCGGCCTGGATTATCCCTACCAACCCACCCTCCTGCTGCCTCATTCCCCCACCCCCACCCCACCACCCTGGAAAGCAGGACTTCCCTCTTTGTGCCTCTGCAAGTCACAAGAATCCCAGTTCAATCATCAACGGCCAGCCCAGCCGCTGACCCTAGGATTCTGGAGTTGCTTGACTCAGGCAGCTATGTTCTTGGAGAGAGGTCAACAAAATAGGGAAACTGAGGCTCAAAGAGGGCAAAGGACCTGCCTGTGTTCATACGGCAGGATTGGAGGCACAAGGATACAGAACGTTAGAGCAGACAGTCAAGCAGTCCCAACACCTGCATCTTATTGATGGGGTAAGCTGAGGCTCAGGGATGGGAAAGAGCCTGTCCGAAGTGACTTTGAATTAATAAGAACCTCAGCATGGCCATCTTGGGTTGATCCCGTGTGGCCAAGATAGAGCTGCCCTCTTTGACCCCAACCTCAAGTTCAGGAAGTTGCAACACTTCCTTGTTTCCATAGTAACCAACTACTGCTCCAGGAATACACTGAAATGTTTTTGTTCCCTCCTCTGTGCTGGCCCTGGGCCAGGCTGTGAGGACACAGAACAGAAAGAGGAGGTGTGAAGGAAGGCACAGACCCAGCCCCACGCAGTTGATCCCTTGCAATAGAGTGTGGGAGGGAGAGGAGTAGAATTTTCAGTGGAGAAGAAATCCTCAGTGCCTGAGAGTGTCAGGGGAGAGAGTTCAAAGATGGCAGCTTTTGAGCTGGGCTCTTAAGGATGGGTAGGAGTTCACCTGACTGAAGAGTGGAGGTGGAGGACTTAGCATATGCAAAGGCCTCGGGATAGAGGATGACTAACATGTTGGGAAACTATGGTGCATAGAGTGGAGTGTATGAACATGCAGGGGATGAATGCCAGGGAATCAGCCAGAGGGGAGGAGAGAGACCAAATGCAGAATATCAGAATTCCAAGGGTAGACAAGGGTATCAGGAAGACCCACTATGCCTCTATTTTTCCAACTGTTAAAAGGCCACCTTATGACAGAGTGGCTGAGGCACAGGAATTGACAAGCACAAAAGGAGAAGGGCTCAGACTCCCAGGACACAGCAACTTGAGCCAGTTCTCTAGCTCAGCCTGTTTCACGGAGGTGGACAGGCATTCCCAGTGGGCTCCTGGCCACAGCCTCAGTCAATCTTTAAAATACATTCAGGATCCGACCTTGTTTCACTACCTCCACTGAACACTCTGGTCCAAGCCGCCAGCATCCTTTCCTGGGTTCCTGTAAATGCTGCCCAGATGGTCTCCTTGTGGCCACCCTTGTCCCTTCAGTCTATTCTCGGCTCATCAGCCAGAGATCTTAGAGGGACACATCTGATAGCCTCAGTCCTTTACTTAAAATCCTTCAGTGGCTTCCAAATCACTGAGCATGAAGTCAGAAGCCCTTCCTGTACTTGATAAGGCTCTCTGTCCCTTATCACCTGGTCCCTGATCACTCTGTTGACTTCCTCCCCACTCTCTCCTTCCCTCACTCCATCTAGCCACACTGGCCTCCCTGCTTTTCCCAGACCACGCCAAACAAGCATCTGCCACAGGGCCTTTGCACATGCTGTTCCCACTGCCTGGAGAGCTCTTCTCCCAAATGTTCATGGAGTTCACTTCCCTGTCTCCCTGAGGTATGTGCTCAAATGCAGCCTCTTCAGAGAAGCCTTCCCTGACCACACCACCTAAAGAAGCCCCATCACCCACTCATGTCCCTATATCACCTTATCCTGGTTTATTTTTCTTCAAAGCACTGATTATAACTCAGGCATGATGTCATGCATTAAGTTGTTGACCTGCTGACTGTCTCGCCTACTAGAATGTAAGCAGGGCCCCTGTCAAATTCACCAATGTATCCCCAGGGCCTGGAAGAGTGCCTGGCACATGGAAGGTGCTTGATAAACTTGACAAAGGAATACATGAATCCACCTTCCTTGGGTAGCTGGGCGAGGGGAGGCACAAAAGGACCCCAGACTCTGCCCTCCCCAGGGCCAGAGTGCTGGGGACTCAAGCCCAGCCAGGAAGCCTTGTTCTCAGGCTGGCACGAGGCCCCACCAGCAGGACCCTCCCAGCCCATTCAGTGCATGGGCTCCCCAGAACTGGAAGTGACGCAGGGCCTGGCAGAGGTCTAGAGGAGCCCTGAGGGAAAAGTAGCAGTTGCTACTCTGCCCATTGTCCCCCATCGTCCTTCACTCCACACAAAGCCTGGGAAGGCCAAGGACAGCCTCGGGCGCAAAGGGTGAAAGTAGGGGGAGACCAAGCCAGTGAGGCTGGGAGGACATGGGATCCTGCCTGCAGCTCTGCAGCTGGATTCCTTCCCTCTCTGGCCTCAGGGCTCTAATCTGGGAAATGGGATGAGAAGGGCATTAAGTAGACTGGCTGCCCAGGTCCCTCCTGCTCCAATAGTTTGGG